>NC_000003.12:109766180-110069210 GCF_000001405.40 Homo sapiens | reverse complement strand
ATTTGTCCCTACTTAACTTGGCAAGATTATCTCTGGTGGTAAGTATCCCTGGATATTTAGTTCAGTCTGATTCCATCTGATGCTGGATGTACCTGAGAAAATGATAGTTGTGATTTTCTTAGAAAGGGTTTCA
Organism: Homo sapiens; assembly: GCF_000001405.40. Lineage (NCBI taxonomy): Eukaryota > Metazoa > Chordata > Mammalia > Primates > Hominidae > Homo > Homo sapiens. The sequence goes on along the minus strand of NC_000003.12, from coordinate 110,069,077 downwards.
CCTTGATCATAGATCCCGCCGCTGTTGCTCATCCCCTCAGACAGAGGTAGTTCTTTTCCTCTGTGATCCTGCTAGCAGTCCAGTTTTGCCCCTTTTTTTCATATTTGGTATCCCATTGCTTTGACTGGTAGCTGCCCATGTCTTCTGCCACTATATTAATTCCCTTTCTCTTTCAATCAATTATCCAGTAACTGCTGAGATATTCTCTCTCTCCAACTGTCAGTAAAAGAGAACAAAGGCCGGGCGCGGTGGCTCACGCCTGTAATCCCAGCACTTTGGGAAGCCGAGGCGGGCGGATCACGAGGTCAGGAGATCGAGACCATCCCGGCTAAAACGGTGAAACCCCGTCTCTACTAAAAATACAAAAAATTAGCCGGGCGTAGTGGCGGGCGCCTGTAGTCCCAGCTACTCGGGAGGCTGAGGCAGGAGAATGGCGTGAACCCGGGAGGCGGAGCTTGCAGTGAGCCGAGATCCCGCCACTGCACTCCAGCCTGGGCGACAGAGCGAGACTCCGTCTCAAAAACAACAACAACAAAAAAAACAAAAACAAAAAAAGAGAACAAAGACGGAAAGAGGTAGGCTCCATCAATTTCTAAATATGCTTCATCATACTTCCTCTTAGCCCTAATATTATGAGATATTCCAGATGATCCTTGGCCGGCCGAAAATTGTAGACAATAAATGGACAACATCCCAAACTCAGAAGATACAAGTCGAGGTCTCCTAAAAACTTCCTTGTTATTTACTGCTTTAATTGTTGCTCAATAGTGGGCTTTTAATTTCTGCAGTTTGACAAACATCCAGCCAGGGAAAAAGATGTCCAATTCTGTTTCTTAGAAGTATGCCCAATCTCTCCTAGTGATTATCTTTGGCTGTTCCTTAAACTTGACTTTGATAGTAGTAAGAATACTTCACTTTCTCTTTTTCCATGGTTGAGAAGGGGCAAGTGGTCTGGAAGGAATATAGAATAACCTCTTACCATTTTTGGTATACTCTTCCCAAGTGTACTGCCAACATCCTCTGGCTCTTCTATCTGCCCACAGAACTATTTTCATTCACCAAAAGAAAGTGGTGGAGCGATATTTGGTAAGCTCTGCAGAGAGAGATCTGGCATCCATTGTGCATTGCTTATTGGAATTTTCTTTAGAAAGCAAAGTACTTAGAGCCTCTTGTCAGCTTAGCTTACAAGTAGCCTTAACTGTGATTCCCAAATATCAGAAAAAGCTCCACTCAACATCATTTACACTGACTACAGTTTAAGCTTCCTTTTTCATGAGGCCTGGCTGTATTTCCTGTCCTTGGTTTCTGTGACATCTATTATTAAAGTAAACCAACTACTTACTTTTCTAGTTTCTGTCCTTATGCCCAGACATTAACAAACTGAGACAACAGATGAGTTACCATTGAAGTTTCTAGAGAGCAATGAGAAAAGGGACTTAAGAATCTACTTGAAAGACAGCCTTACAGACACAAAAATAACAATATGACACATCATTTCAGAGAGTACTAAAGGGATTTTAAGCGACAATAGTCACTCCAGAATCCATTGGTTGATAGCTGGTAATCATGTTATCATCATTCAAAATCAGTAACTGAAAAAATAGAATCACATTTTTATTTAGAAAAAAAGACGAACTGACCCTTTATTTTGAAAGCTTGGAATGTTGTCTTAAGACAAACATCCTCATGCAAATAAAAAACTAATTTATATACTTACAAATCACAGTAGTGCCTAGGGTAAAATTCTTTAAATGATAGAAAGTGAATTCAAAAATCTTTCAGTGTCTGTGGGTGTGTTAGGTGTTTCTATGTACATTTTACATAGGCATGTATATATTATAAATGTACAGTTGACCCTTGAACATCATGGGGGTTAGAGGCACCAATATCCCATGCAGTTGAAAATCTATGTATAACTTTTAACTCCTCCCAAAACGTAAGTACTAATAGCCTGCTATTGACAGGAAGCCTTACTGATAACATAGTCAATTTACATGCATTTCATATGTTATATTCTTACAATAAAGTAAGCTAGAGAAAAGAAAATGTTATTAAGAGAATCGTAAGGAAGAAAAAACATATTTACTATTCATTAAGTTGAAGTGACTTTTCATAAAGTTTTTCATCTTTGTTGTCTTCACATTGAGTGATTTAAGGAGCAGGAGAAAGAGGAAGGGTCGGTCTTGCTGTCTCAGGGGTGGGAGAGATGTAAGAGGTAAAGGAAGTAAAAGGAGAGGCTGGAGAAGCAGGCATACTCATGGTAACTTGTATTGAAAAAGTGAGCCCATACTGTTCAAACTTGTGTTGCATAAGGGTCAATTGTATGTGTCTATATGTATATATTTATACACGTAAAGTTTAAACAGAGAATAGTATAAATAAAATAAAATTGAGTTTATATTTAAGAGATGTATTTGATTGAAGATTTTAAATGTTGAAAAGCTTAAATAATTTTAAAAAAAGAAAACCTTAGAACACATTTTTACAGTTTTCCTAATATAAAACAGTGAGCTATGCTTTGCTTTCAAACTTACTTTGGAGTTTTGCCTCTGTTACTTACTACCTGTATAGTATTAAGCAAGTCGGACTTTTTAAATATCCTTTTTCTTCACCATCAGATGTCCCAAGTGTATCATTTGTTAGATAGTGATATTAATGGACAGCTGCTTCAGCTGGTCCTTCATGAAGCAAATTCCACAGCCATTTTTAGTCCAGTAATGAATGCCTGGTTACATAGACAAGAGAACAGCTATAATAATTAATGTACTAGTGAAAACACAGAATGTTAATAATTCCGAAGAAAAGAGCCCGCTTTTCCAACTACTCTTTGGACTCTTGTCCCACAAACTTGGTTCTTAAAGGAGAAAAAGGGAGAAAGAGAGAGAGTGAAATTTATCAAAAAACTGTTTTATATCTAAAAAACAAAACTACACTAATTAGGATAAATTGAATTGAATGATTCAAGCATAATTTTCATATCCTTTTTGAGTACAAAGTTACTTGGAATCTATTGCTATTCTTTTGTCAGAAAACTTTTAAGTCAGTAGGTTGGTTAATAAAAATGTTTAGGAAATTATGATTTCTTTTTAATAAGCATTATCCAGGGAATAGATTACATTTTTTTTCTTTTTTTTTTTTTTGGAGGACAGCAGTATGGGGATTCATTCTAAAACACATTTAGAAAACATCAATCTAAGTATTTTATAGACAGATAGTTTTTTAAATATTGTGGGCCCATTTTGACCTATAGTCAAATATATTACTTCACTTTATAATTAAGTCACACCTACAAAATGTACCACACTTCGAAATGCCAAGAATCTGAACTCAAGGGCATTAAAAGACTCCTCCAATATTAAAATTTATAATGTAGGATTTCTGTTAAGATGTCCCATAAAATTTCAGATTTAAATGAATATTTTCTATCCATCAAATTAATATTAACTATAGAGAAACAGAAACTTGGGATCCAATATTTGGTATTTCACTGATTTCTCCATTTGCTGATACTTTATAATCTTCAAATTGAAGCATTCACAAAGAATTTGCGTTGGCATTTGCAACAACATAGATGAACCTGGAGGACACTATTAAGAGTGAAATAAGCTAGAAACAGAAAGAAAAATGCGGCACGATCTCACATACAGATGGAATGTTTTTTCAATGTCAAATATATAGAAACAGCATAACAGTGCTTACCAGGGGTTCAGGAAGGGAAAAATGGAGAGATGAATGTCAAAGGGTACGAACTTGTAGTTATGTAGGATGAGTAAGTCTAGAGGCTGAATGCACAGCATGAGGAATATAGTTATAGTATTATATTATATGCTAAAATGTAGCTAAGGGAGTAGATTTTAGGTGCTTTTACTACAAAAAAAGGTAACTATGTGCGGTGATGGATATGTTAATTGCTTGACTGTGGTAATCATTTTATTGCATATATGTGTATCAAAACATCATGTTATACATATTAAATATATACAATACAAATAAATGAATTAAGTAGATTTTAGTTTTCTTGTTTATTGGTGATAAATTGGAACCTACCTCATAGTTTAAATGTTATATAATATTTTATATGTGTGTGTGTGTACATATACATATATAATATGGTATTATGTAATATAGCCTATATTACATATAATATATATTCTATAGAATATGTAATATATAATAAGCGTAATGTGATATAAAACATGTAACATATCATAGATAATAAAGTTCCTTTTATACGAAAAGTGCTCAATGGTTCATTGTGCAATTAGTCATTTCATTAAAAATTTTAATGTGATGCATCAATTCTTTAATACTATTGCTATTAATATTTTATAACTGTGGATTTTATGTCTTTATCTCCAATTTGGAAAAAAAACTTACAGATTCTTATTCCAACCTCCTGGCTGCATAGCCTGACTGCTCAAGAGGCTTTACTCAGACACTGTCAACAGCAACAGTATATAAAGAAGTCGATTATTTCATTTTCTCATCTTTTTGTTTCTGCTTTATCACAAAAATATTTGTCTTCCAGACCTCTAGTATCATCTTTAGTGTACCTAATTGAATCAACAAGGGAGAATTTACCTAAGCTGGGCCAATCATATTCTCCATCGAGTATTGGAAATATATATGACTTTAAGCAACTAGACAAGACCCAGGTGATTGCTTTACTTGAGAAGCCCTATAGAGATGTGTATGAGGTGTTATAGACATATAAAACAGAAAGGACTAATATGGAAAATGAGATGGACACAGATGGAAAGGAAGGAAGACAGAGATAGAGATAGAGAAAGAGAGAGGGAGGTGGAGAAAGAGATAGAAATGAGAGAAGGAAAGAGAGAGAGAGAAAGACTATGTAGATTAGGGGTAGTAAGCTGGGTGGATTTCTGACTCTTCGGTCCCTAGTTCCAGTCCTCACGAGGCTCTTGTGTATTTCTTGCTCCAGGTTCTAAGACATAGTCTCATAGGGTACTTTGAGGATGTTAAGAGCAATGAAGAATTATGTGAGGCTGGACATGGCTCAACCAAAACCCCTTCCCCAATCTTCTTTTATCCCAAGGAAGTGGGATGCTAAAGGACACATCCTATTGATTGAGGGCTTAACATTACGGTTCCTCTTGAGGATAAAACTATTATTGTTGTAATTTCCAGGAGTATTTTGGCAACAGTGTTAGCTGAAATAGAAGAGAGATGTATTAAATAGGGTGGAATATGTCTTCTTTAATGATATTTTAGGTGTTTTGACTTGACACTACCAATACATCAGATGAAGAAAGTTTAAGTAAAATCCTAAGAGAAACAGTGATTTTCTTATCTGGGAATGTAATATGTGGCCTATCACAGCAGAAGTCTTATTAGGGTGGCACCAGGAGAATAAAGGTGCTGCTTACCTGATTTCCCTGAGGTAGAGTATTAAGGCTTTGACTATTTTTTTTTCTTTTTCAGCTTCTTTTTTTAGGTTTAGGGAGTATGTGTGCCAGTTTGTTATATGGGTAAATTGCATGTTGCTGGAGTTTGGTATACTTTAAAAAGTGGGTCCATTTTATCTGGTTTACTTGCAATTCATTACCTTAGTTCTTTTGACCAGATCATTTTATTGCATTCATGATAACTCATACTCTGTTTATTGCTACTGAAAATATGTAGCAAATGCTGAAGTCTATATAGTGAAGTGGTTCTGCCATGAGTTTCTAGCTCTTACTCATCAAAGATTTGCCTTAGTTCTAAAGGTTTCTTTTACCATCATTTTTTCCTATGTCCCACACATCCTATCCTAGGCTCTCTGCCTTAGGATGAGAGATTGTTTCAGGGTTCTTGTTCAATTTTTTTACTAAGCCATAAGTTCACGTTCAGTGCTGACTTTATCCATTGATTTATTCAGAGGTTTGTTTAATGCAACTGAGCTGTAAAATCGCCACTATTATTCACTTAGTGTATTTGGATGGCCTGTTGTCAACATCTTCATGATCTGTTCTATGTTTGGATTATGTGTATTGTGATAATGAGTGGGTATCAATGCTAGAGTTAAAATTGGTTTTTGGCAAGAAAGGATATTTTTATTTTCTGATTAGTGTCTCAGTTGCACTAATATAAATGGGGAAGAGATGTTTCCTTAAGCAAGATCTGCTTTTCCTGTGGCAGCATAGGGGAACATTTGTGTTTAATTATTTCACAACCATTGTTATGTGGCCTATTTAAGCATTCAGCAGAGAAAGAAACTCTTCTTGTTCAGGCCTATGTTTGTGGATTTTTCTATCTTTAGCCTAAAGCACAATGTTAGACATACAGTAAAAACTTAATGAATCTTTGTGAATTTTAATTGAATTGTTTAGTTATAAAACACATGTAACCTATGCACCTTTTCAGTGTCATTTTTACTGAATATGGATAAAAAATTTACTGGGGATAAAAATATTCCAAGATTTGAGTAAATTTCTGGTGTGTGACTCTTTTATAACAGAGGGAGTGCAAAAAGGTAGTATATCATTTTTGTGGAGGGAATGTATCAATGTCCAAAACTAAAGTATTGGAAAATGATGAAAATTTCAAATGCTAGAAAAATCTGAGTAAGGAAGGATGTAGTAATCAAAAATTGGAAAGGCAATTCTAATGAGTTCTGATATGCATTTTATCCAAAGCCATCTTTTATTGGCCAATGAAACCCTAAAATTATAATATTCAGACCAGAAAAGATATTAGAGCACTGAAAGTTATGTTCAGGTGCATAACATACAACAGTACACGATAATATTATCTGTAGATTTATACTGTGTTTCACTCCAATATCATTACCTAGTATGGCACTACAACCTCATAGATTTCACTTTACTGACCTCTGATTTTTTGTGTGGATCTTATAATTTCATTTTCTTCTTTATTCCTTTTTTGAGAAAATATTCTCCCAGATTGAACATTGATCAGAATTCTAGACATCATTTTAACCAGTATTTAAAAGCTTTACAATATTACAATAATTGAAACAGAGTGATATGTGTTGAAGAGAATATAAAATAATAGAGTGTACATATATGAATATGGCATATAATAAACAAAAATCACAAGGCAACAGAAAAATAAGGTGTTGGTCAACAAATCAATTTTAAAGTACGGATTATCATGAAAAAATAATCTAAGTTTAGGTTCCCATCTTATATCATTTATAGAATATATTCCAAGTATCTTAAAAACTAGAAATATGGTCGAATATTATTTTCCAAAATAGAACAGATACTATTTAGTCTTTGAAACAAAGAAAGAAATCATTAAACAAGTTGATAATTTGATCACATACAAACATTTAATTTCTACACAAAAATGAATAAAACTGAAAGATAAATAACAACCTTGGGAAGTTATCTACAAAAACAAAAACATATTATTATAGAAAAAGCATTGTTCAACATCGATATAAAGAGAGAACATGCTAGCTGCGCAGTCTTGGGCAATTCTCTTCACCTCTCTGGGCCTCAGTTTCCTAATAAATAAAATGAAGACAGCAAGAGTGTTTATTAGGAGCATATTAGGTAACTCATGTAAAGCATTCAGATAGTGCAAAGAGTAATGTTCCATAGAATGTAAGCTTCCGCTGTTGTCATTGTCGTTAGATGAAAATTCTATGGAAAAACCCAGGATACAGACATACTATTTATTTTAAAAAGTATAGAAAATGTTTAACTGGCCAGGAGAGGTGGCTTACGTCTGTAATCCCAGCACTTTGGGAGGCCGAGGCGGGTGGATCATTTGAGGTCAGGAGTTCGAGAACAGCCTGGCCAACATGGTGAAACTCCATCTCTACTGAAAAATACAAAAATTAGCTGGGCATGGTGGTGCATGCCTGTGATCCCAGCTACTCAGGAAGCTGAGGTAGGAGACTCGCTTGAACCCGGGAGGCAGAAGTTGAAGTGAGCTGAGACTGTGCCACTGCACTCCAGCCTGGGCAACAGAGCGAGACTCTGTCTCAAAAAAAAAAAATCTTTAACAGAAGCATGAAAACTGTGTTAAGATATCACTTTCTTTATCATATTAGCAAAGATGAAAAATGATACTATTCAATGAAGGAATGAATATAATAAAAATCACTTCATACATTGCTATTGTAAGCTTATAGGTTGTTATGAAGTGAGTTCTTGTGTCCCTCCAAGTTTCAAGTGTTGAGAGGTTCCTAACCCCTAATGTGTTGGTATTAGGAGGTCAGGCCTCTGGGAGCTAGGTAGTTTTAGTAGATGAGGTCATGATGGTAGAGCCCCGTGATGGGATTAGTGTTATTATAAGGAGAGGAAGAGACCAGAGCTCTCTTTCTTTCTGCCATATGAGAATATTCCAGGAAAGTAGCTGTTCGCAAGCTAAGAAGAAGGCATTCACCAAAAACGAAATTGGCCAACATCTTAATCTCAGACTTCCTAGCTTCCAGAAGTGAGAGAAATAAATTTCTGTTGCTTAAGCCACCTAGTGAATAGTATTTTGTTATAGAAGGTCAAGCTAAGACATATGGCTTTCTAGAAAGGAGTTTTACACAATGTATTTAGAATTGTTATATTATTTTCTCTTTTTAACAAATAAGTCTTTCAGGAATATATCCTAGAGTAAGATATTTGCACAAATATTGATATGTGTGCATATGTGTGTATATATATATGTTTATTAAATGTTATTATTGTAAGAACTTAATTGAAGTATCCAATGTTTTTTTATAATAGCTAAAACTCAAAAACAATTAGAGTCCAAAAACAGAAAAATAATTACATTGCGCTAATAAAATATTAGGCAACCATAGAGAGTGAAATTTTTATAGATGTCATAGTGAAATCGAAAATGCTAATGGCAAATATTTTTTAAGCTGAACATCATATTTCCAGACATATACCTCATATCACAAATAAAAGCTACGTATATCAAGTAAAATACACATAGGGATATAAGAATATTTTAGAATATTAACATTAATTAACCACATAATGAGCATATAGATGATTTTTTTTAAAATTTTATCTTTCTTTTACTTCCAAACTCTTCAGGTAACTGTGACTACTAATTAAAAATAAAAGTTCTAATTGATAAAAAAAAATGTTGAGGCTGTATTGTATAATAGAAGAAGTGACTTTTGTGCATTTGAGTGTTATTTCTGGCACTGTCACATTCTACATGACCTTGACAACATTACTTAACTTCTAATGCCTCAGTTTTAAGTAAAGAGAGTGATATCATAGAGCCAATGTAAGGATTACTCCAGCTCATATATAGAATTTGGCAAATAGAATGCACTCAATTATTATTAATTACAGCTAAACTAAAATTATATAATTTTCACAAATATTTTGTAGTCGCCAAAGCAATCTCTAAGACAATCTATTTCTTTATGATTTATGTATTTTGATGATCCAGTATTCTCATTTTGAGCTCTGGTGTGTGAGTACCACCCTGGAGGACATTTCTCAAGATTACTGTTTCAAAAATGTGTATAGTCATCACAATTTACTGGGAGCTTTGTAAAAATACATAAGGCTGACTCCATCCCCAAGCCATGCTGGATAAATTCTCATTCAGTTCATCCAGAACTATGTCTGAGAATGTATACATTTACAAAGTAACCCAGGTAATTCCATGAGATAAGAACCATTGGTCTAGATTTACCAAATACTGGGTAGAAGTTGTTAATTTTAAATAAATATACACCTATTCTAAGTATCATGCAGAATGCTGAACTGTCAAACTAAAGAAATATAAGCTGGAAGATTTAAATTTCCAGAATATTTAACCTGATGATTTTCCTTCACAGTAGAGGCCAGTGGCAAGGAGTTTTGCCCTAGACATGGTATCATTGGGTAGCACAAATAATTCATGAAAAATGAATGTTACTGAGGCAGTTTGTTTCTCAGGTTTTTCAGTCTAAAGAGTGTAATTATAGATTCAGAGAGGCCAGGAAGGCTGTGAGGGTATTGAGTGACAGGAGTTGCCAAGTGGGTCGGGGGGAGAAAGGGTGATGCTCCTTCCATAGCACCTTCTTCCCATAGATATTGACAAGGACTCTCTCCCTGACCAAACACTAACTAGAATCCACTGAGCCCTCTTTTCAACTAGGCCTTGTTTTGGTCCCATTCTTGGCCTGCTGAGCCTAGTTTTATCAAAGAATCCTGCTAAGTCAATTCAGAGAGTTTCCCCCAACCCTTAACACCCAATCAAGTTCCTCTTCCCCTACTCTTGATACCTAACCAAGTTCCTCTTCCCCTATCCCTAATACCTAACCAAGTTCTCCTTAGTAATTTCCCATCCATTCCTTCACTCTGCACATTGGCTATAAATCTCCACTTGTCCCTGTTGTATTCTGAGTTGAGTTCAAGCTCTCTTTCCTATTACATTAGTCTTGACCCTGTTTCAGTGGTCTTGAATAAAATCTTCCTTGCCTGTTTAACTCTGTCAAGTGCGATTTTTCTCTAATGATATTCAAAGTTCTGCTATCCATCACAGAGCTTTCTCATGTTCTGGCAAATAAGAAGGAAGCTTTCTAGCCAGACCTTCTTAGTCAAGTGGGGACTAAGAAGCATTAAATGGCTTCACCGTTCCTGGAAAGTCTAAAGGAAGCACCCTTGCTGCTGCCTAAGGAAGTCCTCTTGGCTAGTGGAGAGTGAAGTTATATTTAATTCTTGGCACAGGTAAGCTTGTTGATCAATGCTTGTAGGCTAGGGGTTCTGTGTGGCTAAGCATTTAGTTCCCAGGTGTAGGTAACGGATGAGATTTCCTCAAGTGGCTGCTAGTGACTAGGAGCATTCTGAATGCTGACTCTTCCACGTACATTTTGTATATCCAAGGTACAATTGCATCTTGTACATTTTCTTTCTCCAAGGTGCAAGTGTATCTGGTACACTTTCTTGTATAATTTGTAACTTAGTCCTTCCTTTTGGGACCCTCATGTTACTGTTTATATTTCCTTTATTTTTCTCCAATCCCTCTAACTCCAGGATATTTCTCTGTTCTAGCATGAGAATCTTTTATCTCTTTTTGTATATTTTCCCACAGTAATTGTCTATGTGCATGAGTGCGCACCATTTCATTAAGGCTTTAATATTTTGTATTAAAAAGCAACAGTGCTTTACTTTTTTCCTGTCTCTGCATTTCTGCTGTATCATGCCATTCTTGTGCCCTCATACCTGAGTTAATCAGAGTCCAATTAGCAAAAGAAAATCATAGAAAAAAATTACCTAAGCTAAACTTCAAAAATGCCATCCTAAAACATAAGTAAAACAAGACACAGAGTTAAATTATTTGCATAAATAAATGAATTTGGAAAATCACATGCTCTGACATTTAGAATTTATCCTGTATGGTTGCTCCGAAAACTCCAGTGGCTTCTTAGACACTCAAAAATATTTGACACTCAACTATTTCTAACTTTATTCATTTTTAGGTGACAAAAGCCATGTGGATTTAATCCCTGCTTCTCTACACATTGGGAATCGCCAAGAATCTCTTTGTCAGGTTACACATTCCAAGGATACATCAATATAAGCCAGGTTAAGGACAGTTGAATGAAATTTGAATTTAACTGTAGTAGTCCCGTGCATTAAGATTCCCTCTGTTTGAGGATCATGCAACCAAACTTCTTAGCAGAAAATTTTCCCTCTGACAAAATATGGTATCATATTAACAAGTCAAAAAATTAAATTCAAGTCTATTGAAACTTGCCATGTGAAGCATAAGTTATTTCTGTATTTATTATTTATTTGTATTATTATATTTTATTTATATTTATTAGACATCTAAACATAAGAGAATGATGATTACTACATACAGTTACTACCTCTAACTAGGTATTAGGTTTTCACATATTATAGTCCAGACTTCCTGTTACAGAAATAGATTTATCTGCTCTAATATGTTGCCTCTGAAAAAAAGAATTTTGTTTACATATTTTTATTTATAAAAATCTGTGTTCATATTACTCAAGGAATATGCTTAGGCAGCCATCACATAGCAAAGCATACGATGTCAGCTCTTCTGATATGTCTGAGGACATTTTATAATACAAAAAAGTTTTAGCTGCTAACACTTTTAGAACAATGGGCAAAGAAACCCATTGTTTTGTAAAACTATTTACAAAATTATTTTATAAAAATAATTATTTGAGAAAATATTTACTGAATGATTTTTAAAATTGTCCTTTCTGTTGCTATTTCATTTGAAGTATGTATTTGCCAACTAAACATTTACTTTAGTGACTCCTGTGCATTCTAGGCACCATGCTAAATGCTTTATATTAAAGGTGAATAGGTAGGGCCTTTGTCTCATTCAAGCACATCATAAAGTATGCTTCATTGCACTCAACTAACACCTGTGGTCTCTGGCCACTCAGGATGTTTGTGGAGGAGAGAGCAAGGCTGAGAATGTTCAAGTGCTGACAGTATTGTGTGTTTTTTTAAATTTAAAACATTTCGTTGTCAAATAAAGATTGAATATATTCAAGGTATATATCTGATATACATTATGTAATGATTATTATAATGATTTGATATACAAATACATTATGTAATGATTTGATTTGATATACATATACATTATGTAACGATTATTATAACCAAATTAATATAACCATCACCACCTATGCTGTATATTTCATCCCTATAACATGTTCATCTTATAGCTAAAAATTTGTATCCTCTGACCGATTTCTCCGAGTCCTTGGCCCCTGGCAACCACCATTCTACTATCTGCCTCTGTAAGTTCAACTGCTTTAGATTCCACATACAAGTGAGATCATACAGTACGTGTCCTTTTGTGTCTGGCTGTTTCACTTAACATAATGTCCTCCAGGTTTATTCATGTTGTAGCAAAGGTAGAATTTCTTTCTTTTTTATGGCTGAATAGTATTCCATTGCAAAATATACTATAATTTCTTTATCCATTCATCTGTCAATGAACACTAAAGTTGTTTCTATATCTTGAGTATGCTGAGTAATGCCACAGTGAACATGGGGGTACATATATCTCTTCCATATACTAGTTTTATTTCTTTTGGATATATACCTCAAGGTTAGATTGTTGGATTATATGGTAGTATTATTTTTAACTTTTTGAGGAACCTACATACTGTTTCCCATAATGGCTGTACCAATTTACATTCCCATAAATCATGTAAAAGGGTTTCCTTTTCTCCACACCTTTGTTATCCACACACTTGTTATCTCTTGTCTTTTTATAAAAGCCATCCTAACAAGTGTGAAATGATATCTCGTTATGGTTTTAATTTGTGTTTCTCTGATAATTAGTGATGTTGAGCACCTTTTTATATACCTGTTGTTCATTTTTTGTCTTCTTTGGGAAAATATCTGCTCAAGTCTTTTGCTCATGTAAAAAATCAGGTTATTTGGATTTGTGGGGGTTTTGAGGGAGGGGCTTGGTTTTGCTATTGAGTGGTGTGTATTTCTCGTATATTTTAGGTATTAACCCCTTACCAGATACATGATGTGCAAATATTTTCTCCCATTTTATAGGTTGCTTTTTCATTTTGTTGTTACCTTTGCTGTGCAGGAGCTTTTTAGTTTGATATAGTCACACTTGTTTATTTTTGCTTTCATTGTCTGTGTTTTTGATGTCGTATCAAAAACTCATTGCCAGGACCAATATCAAGGAGCTTTTCCCCTATGTTTTTATCTAGGAAATTTATGGTTCCAGATCTAAAAGTTAAGTCTTTAGTGCATTTTGAGCTGGTTTTTGTATATGGTGGAAGAAAAGCGTACAATTTCATTCTTTTGCATGTGGATATCCAGTTTTCCTAGCACCATTTATTGATTGTGCTTCTGATATTCTTTCATCCCTAACATTCTAAGATTATCTCATTCTTATTATCTCATTTATTTCAAAGTTTCTTATTTTTAAGGATGTTATTCTTCTTTGAGGGTTGAGGCTCATGACAATATACCACTTCTCTGGAAGATCCTGCACTGACTCTGTGGAGATTGTAGATAAAGTGGGTAGAATGTATTTTCAGTTTTTTGGAGAGAATTACTTCTAATGTTAAAGTCCAAGTGCTTATCCATTTTTCCGCATGCTAAATCTGTCTGAATTTGTTTATTGTCTACTCCTAACATGGTACTTATTTTATCAATGGATAAGTAAAAGCTGTAACTGGAGCAAGAGAAAGAAAATCTAACAAATGTAAACCCTCTTTTTAATTACTTTATATATCACATTTGTATTTTAGTTTAATAGCTCTGGAGTCACATGGACATCTGCTTTACCATCTCTCTTCCTTTTCTACATAAATTTATCTCAATTCTCAACTGATACTAAACAAATAGTTACTATTATGATTTACAAATCATAATAATAACTGTATTTAATATCAGTTGAACGCTAGGTATTATAACATAACAATCTCAACAACCCTTCAGGATATTATATCTCCATTTCATAGATAAAGACCTGAGAATCACAGAATATTGTAATTAAATCTCCCATATTGCTTTTTTACATGCTTACACTTCACTCATATATTAGCATATATTAGCAACTCTTTATAGGTTTCCATGTTGGTCAATTTTTATGGGGCTTAAAATAATCAATCACTCAAACAGAAATTGAGTAAAATACACTGGGCTTACTGTTAAAGGAACAAAGGTATAAAATGCTTTAAAACCATGTTGCCAGTTTGGCCTTCGTTTTACATCCCTCTTACTTCTCTAAGAAAGTGACTTCCATAATCACTGCTAAGGCTTTCACTACTTTATACTCCATTTTTCTTGGAATAGTTTACTGTTGGTTTGTCATCAGACTATGAGTAAAGTTGAAATTTTTATATTTGCTATGTTGGATCTATGTACTCAATATGCTTATCTATTGAGATTTTATAATGAGGAGGATGTGCACACTCCTTAAGCCATTGATTCAGAGAGCCGGAATGGAAAAGAGGCTTTCAGAAAGTTTTGGCCTTTGTTACACACCTGGGCATCTCAATGGCTAATAAATGAGTGAATGAGAAGAAATCCCACTTCATCTCCTTTGCTGATAACAGCCACCCTGTTTTATTATTGTATATAGGCTGTTCTGGCAAGGAGGAATAGGCACCAAGGTGACAAGAAATAGCCTAGAGAAGTTAACCTAGATAAAATTTTATGAAAACCTATTTCTTTTATCTAGACTGAGACACATCAGCTGTCAGCATGACACCAGCAGGAATCCTGAAGTTACCAAAATCCTGGACTTCTTTGAGCTAGACGGGTCTCTGCCTTCACTGTATTACCTACCAGGTGATACAGGAAAGGCCACCATCACGCTGAGTATTTGTCACCTGTGCCTGCTTTTCTGGGGAATTCTACACTTTCACGTCTCTGTAGGATGATTTATTGGGCACATTCCACCTCTACACTCTTAATTTACCATAGCTCAGGATCCAAATAGCTTTAGAAGCTCAGCTTGTTTCATGATCATGGGGAAGAAAATTCATTTTCACAAATTCTTTATACAGTTTTCTTGAATTCCAGCATAGTATCTAACTGTAGTGATTTTAAGAGTCTTGACTTGAAATTATGTTACTGTTTAGTATTTTCCATTTTAATACTTATGTGTGTGTTTGTGTGTGTGTGTAGTTTATCATCTTATCAATTATACAAGCCACTGAAAAAGAAGCTTAGTTGGCCAGGCATGGTGGCCCATGCCTGTAATCTTAGCACTTTGGGAAGCCAAAGAGAGAGAATTACCCGAGGCCAGGAGTTCAAGACCAGCCTGGACAACATAATGAGACCTCTCCACCTCCACAAAAATAAAAAATAAATTAAAAATTAGCTGGTTCATGCCACGACACTCTAGCCTGGGTGACAGAGCGAGACCCTGTCTCTATTAAAAAAAAAAAAGTAGCTGATACTGGAGTCAGTTTAATCTGAACTCTGTTTTCAGGGCTTCAATTTTCAGATTCCCTCAGACAATTCTTTAAGAAGCCAGTTAAATGCTGGCTTTACACAGGCTCACAAAATGACACGGAGCCTTGCCCTTATTTGTATTTGTGATATTTGTCATGAAATTAGAATACATGAGTAGCAAAATTTGCCCATCAGTTAACTAACTGTATTAATATATCCACTACAGAAAGCTGTTCCTTTCTGAGTTAGATTTTTCCCATGGAGTTGGTTGGATTTGCCCTTTTCTTTGCAGAGTTGTTATGTGGGTCTAGTAAATTAGAGAAGGTGGTGCTAGGTAAATGTAAAAACACTATAAAAATCTAGGACATTATAACTAATGCATCTTGTTTTCCAGATGTTTGGCAATACCTGGTCTATTCAGTTGATACTTTGTTAATATCTTAGACATTTGCTATCTCTAGATTCAAATCTGTTTACATTCTTGGCATAATTTTAATTTTTTGTATATACTTTAAATTTTAAAAAATCCAAATACTTTAAAAAAGGCTACTTACTCTGAGGAATATTTAAAGAAATACTATAATTTCGGAGAGTAATGTTCATGCTGAGTCATTTCTGACTGAAAACTACCCTTAATATGACTGACTGATGGTCAGTGTCTCAGGCAGAAGCACTATTAGAGTATTCTCAGGTCATATATTTGACTTGGAAATGTATTTCAATTTTACCAAATACTTTAATGAAATAATAGAAAGCGTATTTGTCAAATTTGTATTTTGTCCACACCTAGTAGAAACAAAACTCGAAATTTTGAAAGTTCTTTTTAAACTAAAAATATGGGCTTAGCTTTAAAAAGTGAAACAACAAAAATGTATATAAATTTCTAGATGTGTTTCAAGTAATCAGAATGAGATAAATAAGATTATGTAACATCCAATGATATTTACTGTAAGAGATCATTTTATTCTTACTAATTTTCATCTCCAATACTTAGACTACATTAATAGAAATTCAGCATCCAGGATATGAAATATAAATAATACTCTACTATGTGTGTAACAACATGCATTTTAAATGGTCTGCTCAAAAACTCCATTTCTAAGGCATTGGTTGAATGAACAATGGTTGAATAAACATAATCCATATGGTGGTATGTTAGTCAATTATAATAAATAATAAGAAATATTTCTTTTATTAGGCCATATAATATCCCAGATATATTACTAAAATGAAAAAGAGTTGAGGAAAGTATATGGCACACTCTCTTTTATTTAAATAAATCAGACGACATAAATATATATACGTAAAATTTTAAAGATGGCTATTTATAAAGATGGCAATACAAGAGGCATGTATATAACTTCTTTGAAGATATACTGCTTTAGATATTTAATTTTGAAATTTCTATTATTTTTATGAACATAAAACAAAATTGCATTTTAAAAAGAAGGAAATCTCTAGAAATTGAAACTAAAACAAACAAATCTAAATTTGCATATAGTTGGTGATATATCAATATAGAAAGGATCTAGTCTAAGTGAATTAAAAGAACATGATAATTTGCATGTCTGTAGTGAATTATAGCATAAGCAGAAAAGATTTTTTTTTCTTTTTTTTTGAGACAGCGTCTAGCTCTGTCTCCCCTGCTGGGGTGCACTAGCCTGATCTTGGCTCACTCACTAAAACCTCCACCTCCTGGGTTCAAGCGATTCTCCTGCCTCAGCCACCTGAGTAGCTGGAACTACAGGCACATGTCACCATGCCCAGATGATTTTTGAATTTTTTCATGGGGAAACAATAATTTTTGTATTTTTTCATGGAGATACAATAATTTTTGTGTTTTTTTTAAATATTTAGAGATGGGGTTTCGCCATATTGGTCAGGCTGGTCTCAAACTCCTGGCCTCAAGTGATCCACCTGCCTTGGCTTCCCAAAGTGCTGGGATTACAAGAGTGAGCCACTGTGCCTGGCCAGGACAAAAGAATTTAAAAACTCTTCTTTAGTAGTTATATTGTAGATGGTAGGATATTGATGGTATTTTTACTTGAGATTTTTATTCTGTAACGTAGAATACAACAAGCAGATAATTACATATATTCTATTTTTATTTTTCCTGGTGAAGATGTTCTCACTGATGCTAATAGCAACAATAACCATGATATATGCAATACATCATATATGATTAAAACCATGAGTTTATCAAATATTAATAAGAAGGTTAATCCTAGTGAAAAAAAACACATTCTTCTGCAAACTACTAACTAAGTGATAAATTTAATCCTGCTTTCCTATATACATTCTGTCACTGGAGAAGGGAAAAGTTGCTCATTATAGAAATAGCTCAGCTATTAAGTTAAGAATCAATGTTAAATTTAGAATATCACCATTTAACAAATCCCATTTAATGAATGGCTTTAGTCATTAAACATGAACAGCTGCTAATATCAAAGAAATAGAGACAACCAGACATCATATGTCTCCTGATGAAAGAATATTACATTACCTAAGAAGTATTATTGCCAAAAAAAAAATTGAACACAAATGAGATCAAGGCTGTAGATCCAACTTACAGAAAATAGACATCAGAGGTATAAGTTAAATTACACTGTATAAAACTACACAGCACAGATGACTCTGTTTCTTTAATAAATACCCTTGTAATATATTTGTTTCATAAATATATGTGATAATTAGATATTTGAAGATAAGGTATTATGAATAATTTTAAATGTGATATGAATATTGTGTTAGTTACCAAAGAAAAATCCCTTTATTTCAGAGATATATACAGAAATATTTGTGAGTGAAATTATTTCATGTCTGAAACATGTCCAAAATAATGTGGGCAAGAATGAGTAGGATATAGATGAAACAATATTGTCAATATTGGATATAAGTGTATAAAGATTTACATTACTTTATAATTTTCCTGTTTTTGTACATGTAAAATTTTCAATCATCTGTAAACATTTCCTGAAATATGGAACATCAAATTCTTTTTAAACTTTCTTTAAAAGCATGTGGAAATAAGAATTAGAATTAATGTGCACTAATTAACATGTGGATAATAAACATTCTTCAAGATATAAAATTCAGCTCTCAACAAAGAAAAGGAATCTCTAGGTTACATAAATGCAGAGACAAGTGAAAACCAGAGAAGTCAAAATGGAACGCAACCGTAGGGCTATTGTCAGTGGAGGAGCAGGAAAGAATTCAACTTTAGTAACCTAAGAGTTTGAGTTAAATACTCATACTATGGCAGAAGGTGAGGACCAGGACTTTTGTGAGACTGGGATTTGGAAATGATGCTCCTTCATAAACTTTATCCCTGAGACTGGAATTTGGAAATGTTACCCCTTCATAAACTTTACCTATGAAAGACTCACAGAAAAAAATGTCTGCATCACAAGGAGTTGACAAAGAAGCTTGTCTGTCCTAATCTGGGATCTGGGTAACCAATAAAAATACAAAAGTGCATCTCACAACCATGAGAAATTAAATAAAGCCTCACTAGATATGTGTTCAAAACATTAAACAAAACAATACAAAACAAGAGAAAAATGCATCATAAAAAGGATCATCTAATAGGGAAACAGCATAATTAAAAATGCCAAAAATTTGGTAAAAGAGATCAACATCTACAAGAGAAAGTAAAATACACTTGCCTAAGCTGATAAGCAAAGAAGTAATTCAAAAGTCCTAAGATAAGATCTACAAAAATATCCTGAAAAAGAAACTAATTAAAATTCTAAAAACTCTATGATAAAAAAAATAGTCACTGATACTTAAACTGCCTAGATGGGATAATCAGCAGAGTAGACACAGTTGAAGAAAATGAAAATTATTGATTTCTGGTGAGAACACTTAATATTCTTTCTCATCATTTTTCAAGAATACAATATACCATCATTAAGTACAATAGTTATCATGTTGTGCAATTTATTTTTGAATTTATTCCTTTTATCTAACTGTCATTTTCTGTGCTCTGACAATCATCTCCCCCACTCCCCAGTCATCCCAACCTCTGGTAACCATCATTCCACTATTCTTTATTTCTATGGGATCGATTTTCTAAAAATTCCAATTCCATTTTTTTTTTTTGAGACAGAGTCTTGCTCTGTTGCCCAGGATGGAGTGCAGTGGTGCAATCTCGGCTCACTGCAACCTCCACCTCCAGGTTCAAGCGATTCTCCTGCCTCAGCCTCCTGAGTAGCTGGGACTACAGGCTCCCACCACCACACCCAGCTAATTTTTGTATTTTCAGTAGAGACATGTTTCATCATGTTGGCCAGGATGGTCTCGATCTCCTGACCTCATGTTCCACCCACCTCAGCCTCCCAAAGTACTGAGATTACAGGCATGAGCCACCATGTCTGGCCCTCCAATTCCATTTTTTTAAAAATGAGTGAGATACGCAGTATTTATATTTCTGTGCCTAGATTATTTCACTTAACATAATGTCCTCCAGGTCCATCCATGTCATTGCAAATGAGAGGATATGTTCATTGGACCTGGAAAGCAATGAGTAGCAAGTACCCTGGGCTACTCTATTAGTCCATTTTCACACTACTATCAAGAACTACCTGAGACTGGGTAATTTATAAAGAAAAGAGGTTTAATTTATTCACAGTTCTGCATTACTGGGAAGGCCTCAGGAAACTTACAATCATTATGGAAGACAAAGGAGAAGCAAGGCACATCTTACATGGTGGCAGGAGACAGAAAGAGCAAAGGGGGAAGTGCCACAATTTTAAACCATCGGATATTCTGATAACTCACTCACTATCATGAAAATAGCATGGGGGAAACTGCTCCCATAATCCAATTACCTCCCACCAAGTGCCTCTCCTGACACATAGGGATTATAATTCAAAATGAGATTTGGGTGTGGACTCAGAGCCAAACCATATCACCTGCAAAGACACATTGCATGCCAGATGGTTGAAGACAAACCCTTCAAATATTCAGGGCCTGACATGTCAGTGAAGTTTTAAAAGTTTGATGATCTGGAGGATATCCTCTCCATGAATAGGATATGTTACTACATCGTGTATCCCATCCACTAAAACAACACAGCTCTTGGTCTACTGCTTTGGATTTCAGAGACAAGATACAACACACTTAAAACTAGTGCTCTGACCCTTTCACTGTGTGACTTGAAAGGATTCCAGTTTTAGGTGGGACCCAGAGCAAGCATGGGCTCTGTGTCAGATTTAGGCTATGGTATAAACTGTCTTACTACTCAGGCCATATAATCCAGTAGATCTAGGTAAACCAGAGGTACTCATCATAGACAAAGATGCCTTGTGGAGTCTCTGCTAGATCCCAGTAGGAAATTTTCAGACTATACTCTTGAGTTTGGGTGTAATTTCTTTTTCTTTTATAGCTGCCTGAAAAGCAGCTCCTGTTGGGTTCCTGGGGCCTATTACAGCCTAAGTTCCGACTCTGACATCAGTGACTATGCAACTGGAACTGTCCATTGTAAATTGATATTGTCAGGTCTTCCAAGTCACATTGTTGGGCAGGAGCAGCACCCATCTTTCATATGTTGGAAATGATACATTTGATATGGCCCCTATGCAGGTCTAGAAGCTAGAAGTATATAACATAAATACTTGGCCCAAACCAATCATGTTGTTATCATTGTTGCATTATAAACTCTTTCAGCTCACACTTACAGCTTCATAAGATGGTGGGTAAGGTATCTTCAATCAATGGACAGAGAAGAATAAAACTCTGTCCTGGTTCATAAATGCATCATCTCTAATGTTTGTGTGAATAAAAACATACTTCTGTTTCACACAATTTCACCTGTGATAGATAGATATTTTGAGGATAGCAATGAGGAAAACTTTTCTCAGGAAGTAGATCAGTGTATTTGTTCATTATGTCTACGAAAAGTAGACTCAAGTAAAATTCTCTTTCTCTCTCTTTATAAATATATATGTGTGCGCATGTGTGTATGTAATACTCCTGGGTCATGACAAGTGTTTTGAATTGTTGAATTGAGATCTCAAAGTAGCAATATTGGAAAATTAAGGACAAGAAAATCTGAGGCAGAAGCATGAATATGAACCTCTGGAAATGGGAACAAAAGTCTTTGTGTCTCATGTCAGTGACTATCAGAGAAGCCATGGTAGAAGAGGGTCTCAGCCACCAGTTGGAGAGAATCACTTGACAGTGAATATTAGCTAGCCTCTGCCTTCACACCCACCCATAATCCCTACTTGCTCAATAGGCTCATGAATATCCCAGCTATGGTGCTAGAAATAGACAATCCATGGGCCTTTCACTGAGACCAGTCAGTGGAAATATAGCTGAGTACCCTACTTGTTAGTGCAGTCACTAAACCCACAATGCGGTGCTATTCCTTAAGGAGACCAGCCAGCCCCTTGTTGGCAAGTCAGTTATATCAAACCTCCTCCATCCTTAAAGGAACCACTGGGTTGTTCTTATTGACATAGACTAATATTCCAAATATTAATCTGCTCTTTAGTCCATTATGCCTTTGCTGCCACCACTATCTGAGAGCTTATGCAGTGTCTGAATTACCAACATAGGATTCCGTGTAACATAATCATCCACCAGGAAACTCAATTTGTAATAAAGGAGTTGTAACAATTGACACAGGATCCATTGTTACAATCAAACATATATTACATCATCTGGAAAAAGATAGATTGATAGAACCTTGGCATGGCCTGGTAAAGGCTTAGCTAAGGTGTAGGAAAAGGGTCATTAACTACAGGTTTGAGATATTCTTAAACAAGATGAAACTTTTGCTTTAATAGGTAAACTACGCTGGCTGGGCACAGTGGCTCACGCCTGTAATCCCAGCACTTTGGGAGGCTGAAGCAGGCAGATATCTTCAGCTCAAGAGTTCTAGACCAGTCTGGCCAACATGGTGAAACCCCATCTCAACTAAAAATACAAAAATTAGCCAGGCGTGGTGGTGTACACCTGTAATCCCAGCTTCTCGGGAGGCTGAGGCAGGAGAATCACTTGAACCCGGGAGGCGGAGGTTGCAGTGAGCCAAGATCATGCCATTGTACTCTAGCCTGGGTGATAAAGGGAGACTCCATCTCAGAAAACATAAAAATCAAAATAAAAGAAAACATGCTAAGTCTACAAAACAAGAAGTGAAAATTAGATTGACCCTTTTCCCCATCACTTTCTGGAACCTACTTTATAATCCAAGCTTCTCTTCCCTACAACTCTAGAATATTAGATAAGTGGTCTTTCCAGGTATACAAGTTATAGTGTTGTGACATGATACCATCAAGAGTTTCAGTGAATCTGATGTTCCCCTTCCTGTGTCCATGTGTTCTCATTGTTCAGTTCCCACCTATGAGTGAGAACATGCAGTGTTTGGTTTTTTGTCCTTGTGATAGTTTGCTGAGAATGATGGTTTCCAGCTTCATCCATGTCCTTACGAAGGACATGAACTCATCATTTTTTATGGCTGCATAGTATTCCACGGTGTATATGTGCCACATTTTCTTACTCCAGTCTATCATTGTTGGACATTTGGGTTGGTTCCAAGTCTTTGCTATTGTGAATAGTGCCACAATAAACATACGTGTGCATGTGTCTTTATAGCAGCATGATTTAGGACTGTTGTGGGGTGGGGGAAGGGGGGAGGGATAGCATTAGGAGATAAACCTAATGCTAAATGATGAGTTAATGGGTGCAGCATACCAACATGGCACATGTATACATATGTAACAAACCTGCACGTTGTGCACATGTACCCTAAAACTTAAAATATAATAATAATAAAATAATTTAAAAAAAGAGTTTCAGTGAATCTAAAGCTTCAACCACTATCTGGTTACTTATTCACACCAGTGGACAGTAGGCAAATAAGTCAATATTGTTCTTACACGATAGAGATAAGGAAGAGTGTATTTTTATAAATCAGTAGCATCACCCATGTAATCTTTGGTGTTCTATTATCAGTGACAAAAGCAAATTTGCAATTGTATCAACATAGTCTGGCAAGATCAAGGCAATCAAAAATCAGGCACACAGTAATAAAAGTATGAATCACCAGTGCCCCCCACCACACACCACTCCCCACTCCAAGCAAATAACCTTGATCAGCTGATATTCTGGCTGTGGGTAAGTGAAATCTGGGTGGTGAAGAATAATATGATGACTATAGTGTGTCCCATTAACTGAGTAAAAATACTTAATTTAAGTACTTTTTACGTATACTTAAGTAAATTAAGTATACTTAAATTAATAGCAACTTAGTGGTTGCTATTAATCATGAAGATATAAAGACATCTAATGGACACAAGGCAGAGGTAGTTGCAAATGATTGTGATACCCCACTCCATGTTCACATTATCCACGTGGATTTAAGCATTTTTTTTTTGCCAGCATTGCATACCAAATGTGTGGTTTGATCTGTCTCTCTCTCTCTGTCTCCCTTTTGCCATTTTACTTTTTTTCTAGGAATCTAAAGGCCATTCAGGTGAATGAAGTCTCCACTTAGAGGTTCAGAAGAGTTAACACTCATTAAGCAATCCTCAAAAATTCTCTTGTTTATGTATTTTTAAAACAGAATTTCTTAAAACTGTCTAGTTCCAAGCAGGTGAATTTTTATTACCATCAAAATTTCTTACTTTCCATTTTCCCCTGAACTTTTCCTGTACTTAATGAAGCAATATAATAGTAGTTTAATTCTAAGCCTCTCAAGTAGTTAAGATATTATTATTTTCCTATGTTAGAAAAAAAAAACAAATTTTAGAGCACAATGTCGGTAATTCTGGTAATAGAAGCAAGGAGGAAATACATTAGTCAAAATAACAAGGTTAAAAAAAGTCTGGCAAAATTGTATGGCAAAATCCTCACAATACTTTTTGCTTCAGGATGCAGTTGGCTTTCATAATGTGTTTTTTTCTTTTACTTTTAGAAAATCTAATGTGTTGTCTCAGATATGGTTTGCATATGAGGAGTTATTTATGGTTTTTAGTTTTAGCCAAGCTTTAGAAGCCAAAGATCATTACACAAAGTGAGGCTTCTCTTTTGTCCCATTGCACCTCTTGATGATAACATTCAACATTCTATGAAGGAAGGCATCAAGAGTACTGGTAGAGTTGCAAGCTTTGGAATCACCCAGATGGATCCCCAAATACCAACATTCTAGTTGTCTTCAGGTTTTAGCTTTTATAAAATGTGAATTTTTATAATCATTTTACAGTGTTGTTGAACACAGTTGTCTGGGTCTTAGCGTTCACAAAGCAGCAATAATAAGACTGTTTTATTGTTGGGAGGATTATGTGAAAAACACCAGAGGAGCTTAATATATTATCTATGAAATACCAGACATGTTATAAAGATTGGAGAATTTCTCCCTCTATACCTGAGGAAGGCTGAGGAGGAGCCACTATGCATGACAATTCAGGTTGTTGAAGAGAATAACTATATGGAGGGTCATACATGGAGAGGACAACATAAACCACTGTACATGCTGGATGTTGGCATGTAAAGTCAATCATATGTAAAAGCTAAGTGGAAGGGTAACCTATACTTCGTTGATAAAAAATATTATTTCTATTACATTTTAAAATTAATTTTGTTACTAAAATGTGACACCAGAACATACTGGGATCAGCCAGTGATCTGAAAACTGAGACTTCCTAAGATGATGATGTTGCTGAAGACATAGGTTTGGTCTGGCCTTTACTACAAGCCTTTAATGACTTCCATTTTCCTTAATTTTTGAGAAACTCATTAGATTATAACAAATGGCTTGAAGGAGAAGGAAAACTCGAATGAGATATTTCAGGAGAAGAAAACATAACCAACTTTAGAATTAAATAGGATGCCTGAAATATGCAGGCCAACAAAATTACTTAAGGACTGTGCTTAAGAGCACGTTTACACTCTTGGTGGCAATGTAAATTAATACAACCACAATGGAAAACAGTATGGAGATTCCTTAAAAACCCTAAAAGTAGAAGTATTATTCAACCTAGCAATCCCACTACTGGGTATCTACCCAGAGAAAATGAAGTCATTACATGAAAAAGACCCATGCACACACATGTTTATAGCAGCACAATTCACAATTGCAAAAATATGAAACTAACATAAGTGCTGTCGACCAAGTATAAAAGGAAATGTGTTATACACACGACTACATGGAAACTGAACAACCTGCTCCTGAATGACTCTTGGATAAATAATGTAAATAAGGTAGAAATCAAGAAGTTCTTTGAAACTAATGAGAACAAAAGTATAGTGTACCAGCATCTCTGGGATGCAGCTAAAGCAGTGTTAAGAGGAAAATTTATAGCACTAAATGCCTACATCAGAAAGCTAGAAAGATCTCAACTTAACAACTTCACATCACAAATAAAACAACTAGAGATTCAAGGCAAAAGAAAAAAAAAACCCAAAGCCAGCAGAAGACAAGAGATAACCAAGATCAGAGCTGAACTGAAGGAGATAGAGACATGAAAAACCCATCAGAAAATCAATGAATCCAGGCACTGATTATTTGAAAAATTTAATAAAATCGATAGACTTCTAACTAGACTAATAAAGTAAACAGTGATGATTCAAATAAACACAATCAGAAATAAGGGGGATAGCACCACTGACCCCACAGAAATGCAAACAACTATCAGACAATACTATAAACATCTCCATGCACATAAACTAGGAAGAAATGGATAATCTAGAAGATTATCTAGAATCTAAAATGGAAAATCTAGAAGAAATGGACAAATTTCTGGACACATGCACCCTCCCAAGACTGAGCCAGGAAGAAATTGAATCCCTGAGTAGACAAACAACAAGTTCAGAAACTGAGGCAGAAATAAATAGCCTACCAACCAAAAAAAGCCCAGGACCAGACAGATTCACAGCCGAATTCTGCCAGAGATACAAAGAAGAGCTGGTACCAATTCTACTGAAACTATTCCAAAAAATAGAAAAGGTGGTACTGCTCCCTAACTCATTCTATGAGGCCAGCATTATTCTGATACAAAAACCTGGCAGAGACACAACACAAAAAAGAAAATTTCAGGTCAATATCCTTGATGAACATCGATGCAAAAATCTTCAACAAAATACTGGCCAACCAAATACAGACACACATCAAAGAGCTTATCAACAATGATCAAGTAGGCTTCATCCCTGGGATGCAAGGTTAGTTCAAAATATGCAAATCAATAAATGTGATCCATCACATAAACAGAACTAAAGACAGAAACCAGATAATTATCTCAATAGATGCAGAAAAGGCCTTCAATAAAACCCAACGTTCCTTCATGTTAACAACTCTCAATAAACTAGGTATTGAAGGAACATACCTCAAAATAATAAGTCATTTATGACAAACCCATGGCCAATATCATACTGAACGGGCAAAAGCTGGAAGCACTCCCCTTGAAAACTGGCACAAGACAGGGATGCCTTCTCTCACTTCTTCTATTCAACACAGTATTGGAAGTTCTGGCCAGGGCAATCAGGAAACAGAAAAATAAAGGGTATTCAAATAGGGAGAGAGGAAGTGAAACTATCTTTGTTTGCAGATGACACAATCCTATATCTAGAAAATCCCATAATCTCAGCCTAAAAGCTTCTTAAGCTGATTAGCAACTTATGCAAAGTCTCAGGATACAAAACAAATGTGCAAAAATCCCTAGCATTCCTATATATGAAAAACAGGTTAGCTGAGAGCCAAATCACAAATAAACACCCATTCACAATTGGCACAAAAAGAATAAAATACTTAGGAATACAGCTAACAAGGAAAATTAAGGACCTCTTCAAGGAGAACTACAAACCACTGCTCAAAGAAATCAGAGATGACACAAACAAATGGAAAACCATTCCATGCTCATGGATAGGAAGAATAAATATTGTGAAAATGGCCATGGTGCCCAAAGCAATTTATAGATTCGATGCTAGTCCCATTAAACTAACATTGGCGTTCTTCACAGAATTAGAAAAACATCTATTTTAAAATTCATATGAAACCAAAAAAGAGGCTAAATAGCTAAGACAATTCTAAGTAGAAAGAACAAAGCTGGAGGCATCACTCTACTGACTTCAAACTATACTACAATGCTACAGTAACCAAAACAGCATGGTACTGGCACAAGAACAGACACATAGACCAATGGAACAGAATAGAGAACCCAGAAATAAGATTATACACCTACAACAATTTGATCTTTGACAAACCTGACCAAAACAAGCAATGGAGAAATAATTCCCTGTTTAATAAATGGTGCAGGGAGAACCAGCTAGCCATATGCAGAAAATTGAAACTGGACCCTTTCCTTACCACCATATACAAAAAATCAACTCAAGATGGATTAAACTCTTAAATATAAAACTCAAAATTCTAAAAACTCTAGAAGAAAATCTAGGCAATACCATTCAGGACATAGGCACAGGCAAAGATTTTATGACAAAAATGCCAAAAGCAATTGCAACAAAAGCAAAAATTGACAAATGGAATCTAATTAAACTAAAACATCGCTGTGCAGCAAAAGAAACTATCATCAGAGTGAACAGACAACCTACAGAATGGGAGAAAATTTTGCAATCTATCCACCTGACAAAGGTCTAATATTCAGCAGCTACAAGGAACTTAAACAAATGTACAAGAAAACAAACAACCCCATTAAAAAGTGGGCAAAGGACATGAACAGACACTTTTTAAAAGACATACTTACGGCCAATCAAATATATGAATAAAAGCTCAACATCACTGGTCATTAGAGAAATGCAAATCAAAACCACATTGAAATACTATCTCACACCAGTCAGAATGATGATTATTAAAAAGTCAAAAAACAACAAATACTGATGAGGTTATCGAGAAAAAGGAAAGCTTTTCTACTGGGAGCGTAAACTAGTTTAACCATTGTGGAAGACAGTGTAGAGATTCCTCAAATACCTAGGGACAGAAATACCATTTGACCCAGCAATCCAATTACTGGGTATCTACCCAAACAGATGTAAATCATTCTGTGATAAAGACACATGCACACATATGTTCATTGCAGCACTATTCACAATAGCAATGACATGAAATCAACCTAAATGGCCATCAACAATAGACTGGATAAATAAAATATGGTACATATACACTATGCAGTCATAAAAAGGAAAGAGATCATGTCCTTTGCAGGGACATAGAGGGAGCTAAAGGCCATTATCTGCAACAAACTAATGCAGGAACAGAAAACCAAATACCACATGTTCTCACTTACAAGTGAGAGCTGAAAGATGAGAACACATGGACTCATAGTGGGGAAAAACATACATTGAGGTCTGTTGGAGCTTGGGAGTCAAGGAAGAGGGAGAGCATCAGGAAGAATACTAATGGATGCTGGGCTTAATACCTAGGTGATGGGTTGATCTGTGCAGCAAATCACCATGGCACACATTTACCTATGTAACAAACCTGCACATCCTGCACATGTACCTCTGAACTTTAAAAAAAAAAAGCTGGAGGCAGTGGCATTAGTTCCTGGGGGTCTTCGGATCTCAGAGCAAGGGACCCATTCTGGACCCTAAACTCTATGAGAGACCACAAAGCAGCCTTGAATCCAAAGGAGTTTTACATGGAAAAAAAAATTGCTGTGAGGAGTTACATTAAATAATTATAGTGGTTGTTTTGAATGGAGTTGTAAGTAATTCCTATATTCTTTTTTATAACTATTTGTCCTTTTCAAATTCCCGACTGTGAACTAAACTCAGTAGGTCTGTCAGCTTGAATATTATTATCTCTTGGAATCTCATTTCAAAAAATCTTTTAAATGGAAAGGATACAAGAGTAAAAATTCTTAGAACTTATGAAATGATAAAATGAGACTGTAATCATACAGTGCCTGGCATGTTGTGGTCACTCAATAAACACTGCTTTCCTCACTGCCCCCCGAAAAAATGTGGTAATATATATACCATGGAATACTACTCAGCCATAAAAAGAAATGAAATAATGTCTTTTCCAGCAACTTGGATGGAGCTGGAGGCCATTATTCTAAGTGAGGTAACTCAGGAATGGAAAACCAAATATCATAGGTTCTCACTTATAAGGGAGAACTAAGCTATGAGGATGCAAAGGTATGAGAATGATTTAATAGACTTTGGAGACTCAAGGACAGGGAGAAGTTTGGGAAGGGGGTGAGGGATAAAGGACTACACATTGAATACAGTGTACACTGCTCAGGTGATGGGTGCAACAAAACCCCAATCACTACTAAAGAACTTACACATTTAACCAAAGATTACCTGTACCCCAAAAACTATTGAAGTAAAAATACTTAAATAAAAACTATTGAAATAAGAAGATCACGCATTTTCTTGGAACTTTTCTCTTCCTACTTCTTTACTTTGTAAAGCAAAATTTACATTTTGAATATTTATGGATGAGACAAAATATGTTTTCTTAGTGTCCTTGAGTGTCTGAAATTTATATCAAATAATTTGAAAACAAGATAGGCTGTATATTGTAAACTCAAAATAAGCAAAATTAAAAGTTGCATAGTAATGTTATGTAATATAAATCATGATAATATGGTAATATAAATATGAGCTATAGCACTTATTGGAAGTTCATGATGCTTCCTGCCTGACTTATATTTAGGAGAATGTTATTATACAATTTGTGGATTCATGGTAAACTTTCAAAACTTTTCTTTCTTTATAAATAAATTTTTATGGGTTAACAAGATGTAAAACTACCTACAAATTAGAATGGGATTTCCAGCTAAACATTAGCCAATATAAAAGGAAAAAATGACATCGAATAGGGTAAGATTAATCAAGTTAAAAAAAAGTCATCTGATACTGTAGTATTACGAACCAATTTATTCACTGTTGCTTACCACACTGAAAGCACTGTACAAAAATGAAAACTACTTGCCCAGAATTTTTACTGAGTTATGCTATGTCAATATATTATAACGATGTTTATTTGTATCTGGATTCAATTTCATGGGTATTTAAATTTTCCAACAATCTAATGTGTTTCTTGCTTTGAAAATGTGTCAAACCTACCAAATCATGCACAATCTACAAGGAAATTTTAATTCAAATACAATGAGTACAAAAACAAAACTCTCAGCTTATTTTTCTCAGTGTATATTGAAGAGCTTATTAAGTATTGAAGGAAATATATTAATGGAGTATACAGTTAATAAAATAAAATCAGTATAAATGTCTGAAATAACGTTCATAATGAATAATTTTAGAATGTGTATCTAACTGTTGATTTAGTTTGAAAGCTGAGAACCTAAGAAATTTTTACAGTTGATTTGACTGTACATTGTCATTCACAATCCAAGTTGAAAGAATTATCTAGGGAAGCGTTTAAAAATACTGACACCTAGAACTTATCCCACCAACTAAATGTGAACCTCTAGTTAGGACCTCAGCATCTATATTTTTTAAAGCTCCCAAGATGACTCTACAATGCAGCCAAGATTGAAAATGAATGATGTAGATATTTTAGTTCTTCTAATGTTGCATGCATTTTCACTTTATGTTAAGACAAGGAAATGCAAGGAAGATTCACTACTATGCAGGACACTTGACACATATAGGTCTAAAAAATAGTCATAAAATAAATAAGTTGCCAAAATTTGTTAAAATTTTTGTCGCAAAAGCAATGGCTAGAAAAAGAAGTTTTGGGGACGGGTGCGGTGGCTCACTCCTGTAATCCCAGCACTTTGGGAGGTCGAGGGTGGCAGATGACGAGGTCAGGAGATCGAGACCATCCTGGCTAACATGGTGAAACCCCGTCTCTACTAAAAATACAAAAAATTAGCCAGGCGTGGTGGCGGGTGCCTGTAGTCCCAGCTACTCCGGAGGCTGAGGCAGGAGAATGGCGTGAAAGAGGGAGGCGGAGCTTGCAGTGAACCCAGATTGGTCTACTGCACTCCAGCCTGGGCCACAGAGCGAGACTCCGTCTCAAAAAAAAAAAAGAAAGAAAAGAAAAGAAACAGAAGTTTTGGAGAAGGAGTGGTGATTACTATAAAAGTTGCACACAAAAATGTGACTTAATCAATATTTGGGCAAGAACCTTGGCTGTTAAAATGATACAAGAACTTTTATAGTGGTGCTGATAAATATTTAAGACAAATCATTAATTAACAAAAACTTCAAAAATGTTTGTAATAGAAAAGGAGTCTAGAATTGACAAATTTATTTGCTACCCAAAAGAATGTGCTGGCATGAATATTTGGAATGGGACAAGAAAGAAACTGTTTGAATTAATTTTATTTTACATATTGTGTCCAACTTTTAACTTTTTAATAACATCTCCCAAAGATAAATAATAAGGTAGTTAAGATTTTAAAAATAAGATTATTGAATATTTTATAATACTAAAATATCCATTGGAAAATTATTTTCTGCAAAGTAATAAAGACACATTACTAAGGAAAGTGCTCACTAACACCTTCCAAAGTGGTCATTTAACATCTAAGAAATTGGAATAATTATAAAATATACTTAATGATTTAATTTTAAAGTATATATATTTCTAATTATCCTACAACCTTCCAAATCAGTTTAATTAAATGCTGATATTGTAATATGACCTGTCAATGTCAAAAATCATACTACTCAACCTTCAGTTCCAAAATGGCAGCATAGAAGCAAACTGACTTCATTCCCTACCACAGAAAACCAAAGTCAAATAAACACCAAGATTATTACCATCAATATTTCATAATTCAAATATGAAAATGAGACACTTTCTGAGGCCATCAAGAAGTGAAAAAACTCTTAGCAGATAGTAAGAGAAATGGATTTTCACATCTGCAACACCCCTCTTCCCATTCTGCCTGACACTAAGTGCACAGAAAATTTTCTACCAACTCATGATTTGTACACTGAAAAAAGTGAGACAGCCAGCTTCCCCACCATCCCATGTCTCCTAGCAGGAGACCTGTCCTTGCCTCAACTCACAGGAAGTATTATAAGTGCTTATGAAAAGAAATACCCCTGAGAACAAGCAGAGAAAAAGGAGGAGGCAAGACTACCTTTCCAGCCCTGAAAACTCTGCTTTGTAACTCAGCCAAAGGAGACTGTTCAGCCACACTATGCTATAGGAGGTTCATTCCACAGGTCCCTGGAAAAGAACCCCAAGCCAGCCTTTCCATACTGCTAGGATATTTTTTTGGCACCTTCCCCATTTGGGAAGGGCAGTGCTTTGATTATTTACTACAGCCAAGGTGAACCTGGGCTTAAGACACTAGAGCTAGAAAGGAGGCAACCACCTAACAGTAAAGAAACTCTAAGCAAATATATCCATTAAAAAAAAAAAAAAAAAGCCAGACAGAGGAGACTGGAGTAAGTAACTAATTCTTCAAGAAAAGACTTAGTAATACATCAACAAGAAATGACAGCAAGCCGAGAACCCTGAGCTCTCCAAATGGACAAAGCAAAAAAACGTGACTGATTTGTGAGTTCTCTGATCAAAAATACAGTACTGCTGTGTGAAGGAAACTCAGTGATCTTCAAGGTAACAGTGGAAAGCAATTCAGAAATTTATCAGATAAATTTAACAAAGAGATTAAAATAATTTTAAAAATCAAACAAATATTATAACTGAGAAATGCATTTGCTGAACTCAAAAATTCCTTACTCTCATAGCATAATGGATCAAGCAAAGAAAAAACATCAGTGAGCTCAAAGACAGACTATTTTAAAATACATAGTCAAAGGAGAAAAAAATAAAAGACTAAAAAGAAGCAAATATTACCGACAAGATATGGAAAGTTATCTCAAAAGACCAGATCTAAGAATTATTGGCATTCAAGAGGGAGTTGAGCAAGACCAAGAGGTAGAACTATTATTCAAAGAAACAATAACAAAACCTTTCCAAAACTTGAGAAAGATATAACTATCCAGGAACAAGAAGACCAGAGAATTCCAAACAGATTTGACCCAAAGAAGACTACCACAATGCACACAATAATCAAACTCTCAAAGAGGACCCTAAAAACAATAAGAGAAAAGAAGCAAATAACATGTAAAGGAGCTCCAATTCTGGCAACAGGCTTCTCAATGGAAACCATACAGGCCAGGAGGGAGTGGTACAAAATTTTCAAAGTGCTGAAAGAAAAACAAACAAACAAAAAACACCACCCAAGAATGCTGTATCTAGCAAAGTTATCCTTGAAATATGAAGGAAAGATAGTCTTTTCCAGGCAAGCAAAAGCTGAGAGAATTAACCACCACTAGATCCATTTATAAAATGTTAAAGGGAGTTCTTCAATCTCGTGAAAAGAAACAACAATGTGAAGAAAACACACAAAACATTTAAGGTGTAAAAACTACTGGTAAATTAAGTACATAGACAAATCCAGAATACTCTAATACTGTAATTATGGTGTGCAATCCACTAGTAACACTTGTATCTCTAGTATGAAGCTCAAAAGACAAACCTATCAAAAGTAATAATAGCTACAGCAACATTTTAAGAGATAGGTGATATAAAAATGTGTAAATTGAGAAAATTAAAAGTCAAAATGTGGGGGAATAAAATTATAGTGCAAATTTTTTTCCCTTAGTTTTGTTTTTTATATTCTTTGTAATCCAAGACAAGTTACCACTTATTTAAAATAATGTGTTTTATCTTTAGGGGTCTTTTTGTAAGCCTTATGGTAGCCACCATGCAAAAACCTGTAACAGATTCACTAAAAATAAAAAGCAATGACCAGAGAAAAATAAAAACATACTACCAGAGAAAATTACTTTACCAAAAAACAAGACAAAAAGAAATGAGATACAAAACAACCAGAAAACAAACAACAAATGACAGTAGTAAGTCATTACTTATCAATAGTAACACTAAATGTAAATGGACTCAATGCTCCAATGAAAAGGCATAGAATGGCTGAATAAATAAAGAAACAAGACCCAACTATTTACTGCCTAAAGAATACTCACTTCAGTTATAAAAACACAAGTAGATTGATAGTGAAGGGATGAGAAAAGGTATTATATGCAACTAGAAGCCAAAAAGGAGCAGAAGTAGCTATACTTATTTTAGACAAAAAAGGCTACAATCAAAGACCATAAAAAGAGACTAAGAAGGTCACTTTATAATGATAAAGACGTCAATTATAAATATCTACGAATCCAACACAGGAGCTCTCAAGTATATAAAGCAAACATTAAAAGAGCAAAAGAAAGAGTCAGAGTGCAATACAATAATAGTAGGGTACTTTAACTCCCCACTCTTTGTAATGAACAGATCACCTAGACAGAAAATTAGCAAAGAAAAATTAAAGTTCAACTATATGCTAGACCTAATAGGCTTAACTGACATTTACAGACCATTTCACTCAACTGCTGCAGAATACACACTCTTTTCATCAGCACATGGAACATTCTACAATGTAGATCATATCTTAGGCCATAAAACAAGTCTGAATACATTTTTAAAAGTAGAAACCATACCAAGTAACTTTTTGACTACAATTGAATAACATTAGAAATGAATAACAGGAGGAACCTCGGACTTCATGAACACATGGAAATTAAACAGCACTCTCCTGAACAAACAATGGGGAATAAAAAAAATTAAGACAGTTAAAAAATTTCTTAAAAAAAAAATACGGAAATAACGCATACCAAAATCTGTAGGATACAGCAAAAGCAGTACTAAGAGGGAAGTTTATGGCAATAAACACCTGCATCAAAAAAGTAGACTTCAAATACACAACCTAATGATATACCTCAAAGGACTAGAAGATCAAGAACAAACTAAACACAACATTGAGACACATCTAGTGTTAGAGCAGTAGCATAGGATTATTGTAAACTCTAATCTGTAGTTTACATTTCAAACTAGCTAGAAGGAAATAATTTGAATATTTCTAGCATTAAGAAAACACAGGGACGGACGCGGTGGCTCACGCCTGTAATCCCAGCACTTTGGGAGGCCGAGGCGGGCAGACCACAAGGTCAGGAGATCGATACCATCCTGGCTAACATGGTGAAACCCTGTCTCTACTAAAAATACAAAAAATTAGCCAGGTGTGGTGGCAGGCACCTGTGGGCCCAGCTACTCGGGAGGCTGAGGCAGAAGAATGGCGTGAACCGGGGAGGTGGAGCTTGCAGTGAGCCAAGATTGCGCCACTGCACTCTAGCCTCGGTGACAGAGCGAGACTCCGTCTCAAAAAAAAAAAAAAAAAAAAAAAAAAGAAAACACAGATATTTAAGGTAATGGATACCCCAAGAGGTACACTAATTTGATCTTTACAAATTATATGAATGTATTAATTTATCACATATACTTTGAAACTAGGTACACCTATTATGCATAAATTTTTTTAAAAAAAGAAAAACTACTAGTTGTAAATATTTATGTATGAAATGGGATTTCAGAAATTTCATGCAACCAAAATAAAATATAGAAATAATTAGGCAACAAAACGATATAAGATTTAAAATCTTTACTGTAAATGGCAGCATAAGAGGTCTAAACCTGCGCTTCCCAAACTTACTGATCTGCAGATGACACTTTGAATAGCACACGTCTAAAAAATGCAACTGCCTAGATAAGATTACAAAATCACCTGGTTTCTTTTTTTTAAGTTGGTTTCTGATAGATGTATACAGCTTTTTATCCAACAATTACAATGTGCAAAGTTGTCTTAAGAAAACAGTGACAAGTCAGTGGAAACTTTCATGAAACAAAACCCAGAATTATAGTTTATATTATGCTAATCTTATAAGTAACATAGTCCAAGGAAAGGAGAGGAAAGAAATTCTGAGGGATCATTTTCCAGGACAAAGAAACATAGAGAGGGAGACCGCAATGAATACATTTTTCACATAATTTTATGTGTCAATTTTCCTGAGCCATGGTTCAGATTTTTCTGTAAGGTTGTTTTTTGGATGAGATGAACATTTGAATCATGGAATTTGAGTAAGAAAGATTGCTCTCCATAATGCAGACAAGTATAATTTAATCCAATTCGTTGAAAGTCTGAATGGAACAGAAAACTGATCTTCTAGCAAGCAGAAATTCTCCAACAGATGACCTTCGGACTTGAAACACATCAGCTATTCCAGGAAGTGCCAGATCACCCTGCAGATTTTGGGTTCACCAGCCTCTATAATCACATGAGCCAATTCCTTAAATAAATGTATCTGTATATAGACATATATATCCTATATGTCTGTTTCTCTGGAGAACCTTGACTGATATAACTGTAATTAAAAATTCTTCCCTATTTACAAGATATGGGTAAATTAAACATAATGTAAAAGTCATTTTAATCATATGTTTTACCTGTTCAGAAGGCATATGGCAAAAGCTTAGAGTCAGCAAAAGACACATTAATTAGAGGAAAGAAGCAATTCTTTAGGCTAAAATTAAAAATCATACATGCTTCATGTGGGTTATATGCTTATTTCTTTAGGACAATGATAGTGACTGGCTTTTATTTAAGAACGTATCTAATAAGTGGTGGACCATGAGGCATAGTACTCTCTCATCATGTTGGGGATCACTGATTCTTGTTATAGACATTGTAATCTACCATGGTATTCATTAATGATATAAAATAATATTGTCAGTAAAAAATCTAAAATTACAATGTACATGATTAATAAAGACAGTAAGGCTATTCTGAAACCATTCAGTAACCAGATTAGTCTTTGAAAACTGAAGGCTTTTCAATAATTTTAATGCGAGGATCTTAAGTTCTAAAGGAGCTTTAAAGGTTACCTGGCATAACATTTCATCTGGTACTTGAGTCACCTCTATGACATTTTTCCTAAACTCTGCTTGTCCATGCTTATTGACAATAGCCACCCTACAGGAAATCTGCTAATATATTAAAACTGGTCTCCCTTTCTCTATTTATCCTACTTTTCTTCTTTTTGGACATACAAAATAAACATATTCCTTATTTCAGTAGTTCAAATATTTGAAGACAGTCTGAAAAAGAACAGAAGTCATAAGGCAGGCAAGTATTTCCAGCTTTCCATTATCTAAAATAGCTCTCTTACTGTGGCCTTATAGATTGTGGACTTCTCTCTTGTTCTTAGATTTTATAACAGAGTAGCTCAATGAATATTTTTCTGATAGTGAAGCTTATTTTTTTAATTTATTGAGTGGGATGATTTAAACAAAACTTTTGGTGTTATGGATATGGCATTGTAGTTAATGATGGCAGATATAGGACACAGTACGGGAAAAAGGCAGATCCTTCTGAGAAATACAGGCTACTTTAGTTAAAAATCGGAAGGACATCTTTGTTAACATTTCATTCCTCAGAAATTTTCTGTTTGTTGAAATCTGTTGTCAAATAACATAGTAGTATATTGCATGTGCTTTTTACACAGAAGATAATACCTCTAATTGTATTTAATTATAAATAAATGTGCCAAATGTTCTCTAAATTAACTCAGAATGAAAGCATGCCTCCCACTGAATGAGCTGAAATAGATAAGGGAAATTTTAAGTTTATCTTATTGGTTGGTTTCAACCCATAAATTCAAGAATAGAATAGTGTTAGACATTTTACCAGACTACATCTTACATTCCTTTGAACAAGACTGAACCTTATTTTTTAAATTTTTATTTAATATTTCAAGTGTGTTCATATTCTAAGATATAAATGCATCTAGACAAGTCATAGCTGCAGCAGCCAAAAGTCAGGATAACATTTATTAAAAATATTGTGATTGAGTTATTTATATATTTACAAAAAGAAGAGGAGATAAATAAAAAGATTAGAGGCTACAGAATTATGGCAATATTACAAAAATCCCCAGGGAACAACCGAACAGACAGTGGAACATCTTCACACCTGTCTCTGAGACAGCCACTCAATTTAGTGCATACGTATGTGCAAAATTTATGAAATAAAGTGCACTTAGCCAATATGCAACAGATTGTACCACAAGGAAAATTACCTAAACAAATAAAATGATTCTTTAAAAGTTAATTAGTTTAAATAAAATTAGAGTATTTTTTCCTCTCCAAAACTAATGTCTCTTAATGCAACTACTACTTTACTAGCTACATTACCGGAATCTCATGAAAAACTAATAGCTGGGTACATTTGAGGGATAAAGGGGAAAATGTTTAATATGATCATTTTAAATGTCAAAGCCTTATCAAGTTCTAAAGGCAACAGCCACAGGGGGCAACAAAAAGGCTTGATAAGGGTCAAGAAACTGGTATTTCTACTTTTATTAAATGAGACGTTTTGATTCCATGAACGATATTTTTGTCCTATTTTTCTTCCAGAAGGAATAAACTAAACAAGCTTGACTTTGCCTATTGTACAGATGAAAAAACTCATGCAAATCACACGAAATAAAGCAATGTATGTAAAGTATAGTCATGAGAAGAGCTATTATAGGCTTTGTGAGTTTCTATAGTAAGAATATTATGATTGGATGAAAACAAAAATATTCTTCACTCTTTCCCTCACCAGTCAACAATCCTGCCTGGTATTGTTTATGTCTTCATGTTTCTTTTTAAAAAATCAATTAATAAACAGGCTTCTTCATCCATCCATGCTGCATTGTTATGATGTAGTAACAACAAAAAACACCCCACAAAAAACCCATGAGAGTTATAAAGAAAAGAAAAGCAGGAGCTGCACGTGGAGGTTGAGCATTTGGAGGGAACAGAAGTGTCATGTGACAGAAGTTTCACACATCTCCAAGACCTCTTCCCAATGTCTTACCTGCACTGATGAGGTTAGATGACAGAGGAGAACAGAAAGATCATATTCCATAAACACTTAGCATGTAAATATAATTTTGATAGACATTCAACTGTTTTTATAAACATATTCTCTCTCCTTTAGAAGCATAATTATGCTTGTTTATACCTTAATTGCAGACTTTATATTTTTATTAAGTAGTAAATAAAAAAAGATACAGTTAAATTAAAATTCACTTAGATAAGTATTTTGTAGAGAAGTTAACCCTGATCTGGACTTTCAGTTAGAGAGGGTATTCGTGGACATGAAAGAGAAGGGCATTCTGGAAAGAGGGGCCAGCATGATCAAAGGCATAGAGGCTAGGGATAAAAAAGACTATGTGTAAAAGGAAAAAAAAGTGAAAAGGAAGGGAAATTAGTATTTACTGAATGTCTAGAATGTTTCAAAAATTGTAATAGGTGCTTCCATGCGTTTTGTAACTTAATAATCACAAAAACTTTGTTAACATTTCATTATCCTCCATTACAGTGAAGATAATCATACACCAGTGAGTTATTTAATATCCACATTTTGAAGATAAGAAGTATGACTATTTAGAGAATAGTCTGTGTCACAGGAATTTACAATATACATGTGAATGTAGAAAGAAGCTAAAAATGTTTACTAAATTATAGAAGCCATTGATTGCTGTATTCATTCTCTATGGCTGTGTAATAAATTATCACAACTTTAGTGTTTAAGACAACACACATTTATTGTCTCACAATTTCTGTGGGTCAGGAGCCTGGGCACAGCTTGGTTGACTTATCTGTCGAGGGTCTCAACAGCCATGTTCAAGGCTTCAGTCAGTTGCATTCTTATCTGGAGGCTCAACTGGGGAAGAACTCAGTGTCCCGCTCACATAGTTGTTGGTACTATTCAGTTTCTTACAGCTCTTAAAACTGAACATCAGTTGCTTTTGCTGACTATTGGCTAGAAGTCACCCTGAGCTCCTAGTGCCCACCCTTAACTTCTAGAGACCCACCACAAGTCCTTTCTCTATGGGTGTTCATACTATGACCATTTACTTCATTAGACACCAGAAAGAATCTCTAGAGTAATTATGCTAGCAAAACATTACATAATCGTGAAAATAACTGGTCATGATCTTTGACATATACCACTGTTTGGGAGCAAGTTACAGATGCTGCTCACATTTAAGAGAAGGGAATAATACATGCATGAGCACCAATTGGTAGAGATAAAGTAAGGTACACCCTAGTGTCTGTCTGCCATGATTACCATCATAATAAAACTAAGATTGACTGTAGTAAAATATAAACTTATTAAAGATTTTTGAGTAAGGGAGTGAAATAATCAGAACTGTGCTGAAAGAAGAAGAAAATTAGAGTTTGCTTCTAAATAGAAATAGGAAGATTAAAGAAATAAAACTTGAAAGCATTGTCTTGATTGCCTTTATAATATTAGGCCCTAACTCATGGGGTGATCCCAAATCTATTCTCTTCTGGCCATTTGCAAATTGAGGGGCACCATACATTGCCTATGTGATGCCCATTCTAATGTGAAGAATTAACACCATCTCCTTCCAGTGTGTCTCAATGGCAATAAATAACGAGAGTAAGAAAGGCAATAAAGAAATACAGCATGCTCCCTTGAGGGACTCCTGGTTGCTAAGATGCGTGATGCCTTGAGAATTCTGCATTGTTTAACTTTTGCACAGTGGTTTAGTTTGCAAACTGGTCTGTGGGGTTAAATATGACCCAAGGAAAATAGCAACTTGCAGAGAAAGTGACATGAAATTTAACCAGGGGAAAACCACAAATAAAGTCTATGGCTAGGTTTCCAGGCAAGAGAATAAAGTGTTTAAATTTACCAGAGGAAGACACAGAGTGAAATCGGCTAAGGAACTGATTAACCTAATCATAAACCAAGCATGTGGCAACTATACTGATAATTGCACTCCAGTGAGTCACTTATAATGCTATTACAGTGCACATTAGTCACCCTGCTGCCCTACTTGCCCAAAATATACTGCACATCGCCAGTGTAACAGCTGTTCTCTGCTTTGTAGAAGTTATAAATGTTGTGGAAACAAAGAATAAAATATATACTTTCTTGCATTCTGCTAGCCTGACTGGTTGTAACAGCTCAGTATTTTCTCTCATAAATAAATACAGATCCATAGAGATCCTCAATTTTTATAGATGTTCAGGATTTTTTTAAAAATCCTCTCAAACACTAATTCGATTATTTTGGTTGCTATTACCCAGTGTAATCTTGCAGTGGCAGGAAGTATAGTGAGACTAATGGGAATAGGTCTTTAATGGAAACGATGTTGGACCACTAAAGTCACCTCCATTTTGGGGGATGTTTCTTAGTGAAGTTGCTGACATGAAATAAAACAATTATCTAGACTCCTCAGAAAGATGATATAAAGGCCTACATAATTCTGCAGGTGTGAAATAACTATGAAATGTAATCTCCATCTGAGATGACAGCCAAGTTTTGAACATAAAGTTCATTCATTCTACAAATGTTTCTTGTGATCCTAACCATTACACACACTATTATACATGGGAGTTTCAAAAGAATAAAACAATTAAACAAGGTCTTTGTTCTCAAGAACTTATAATTTAGTGGCAATGATAAGCATGCAAATGAATTATGAAAACAAAATGTAGCTATATTTCTATGAAGGATGCACATAGTTCAGCAAAGTCAATTCTGCCTGCTATCGATAGGAAAATTTCAGAAAACAGTTGATATTTGAACTGGATTTGAAGGAAAAATATGAGTTTGACAGAATAGGAAAGAAAGAAAAAAGAAAGGTAACATTTCTCATGCTGTTTGGGACATGGAAAAAGATACTCATTTACATAATCTCATTTAACTCTTGTATCAGATTGTCAATGCCTGCCCTAAATCATCCACTAGGCTTTTCTTGGTTAACTGCCAGTTGCCAGTTTCTGCATATCTATGCCTGAAGCTTTCATTCCATAACCAGGAAAGGCAGTTATTTCTCCTTATTTTAACGGATTGAAAGCTAAAAGGAGTAGATCTAAAACTGAAAACACTTGGGAGATGGTATAGAAATATGTCAGCTCCCTGTTCTCCAGGTGGTATAATTGCAAGGTTTACTTTTTTCACAAAATCTGTACTAGTTTCTGTTGCTGCTGGAACTAAAAAGCATAGTAAGTAGCTAAAAAAAAAAAAAAAAAAGCACACACTGATTATCTTACAATTCTGGAATTCAGAAGTCCAAACAGGTCTTACTGAACTCGATTCAAGGTGTTAGTAGAGCTACATCTCTTCTGATTGCTCTGAAGGAGAATTATTTCCTTGTTTTTTCTTGCTTCTAGAGGTTGCCCACATTCCTTGACTCATGTCCACATCATTTCTACCTCTGCTTCTATCATAAACACACACATACACACACACAAAACACACACACATATATGTATGGAGATATATATATATATATAAATGAATACATAAATGTATGTGTATATATATATATATGTAACATGTGGGGTGGGAGAGTTAATTTGCCTAGGGTGGACTCGATTCCCTAATCTCAAGCAATCCTCTTGCATTCCAAGTAGTTGGGACTACAGGCATGCACCACTATGCCTGGCTC
This sequence comes from Homo sapiens, assembly GCF_000001405.40. Classification (NCBI taxonomy): domain Eukaryota; kingdom Metazoa; phylum Chordata; class Mammalia; order Primates; family Hominidae; genus Homo; species Homo sapiens. The sequence continues at coordinate 110,025,917 of NC_000003.12, read as the reverse complement.
TCTCCTCATATTATCATATTTACAAACATTTCCCTGCAGGACTAAGCCCACTGCAGGAGTATCAAACCACTGATTTGATATTGCAATTCTTATAAGCAGCCTTCCTTTCCTTGTATGGTTTTCTTCCTTTGTGGTGTTTCTGATACTTTTCCCCGAAAAATTAACTATTTGTACTGAAATAAATATTACAACTAGAAAAATCCGAACTGAGACAGAACCTATGTGGAGAGCATTGTAAATATTTTTGTAATGATAGGGAAATAAAATGAAGAGAGACTAAATAGCTTCTTCAAATTTTCATAGCTAAAAACTATGAAGCTTACTTTAAGGTATTTACTTCATGTGCATACCATTCTGTTGTTTATTATTAATATAATAGTTGGAGCAATAGCTTCAATAATAATAGTAATAGTAATGATACTACTACTAATTATGATTATTAACAAACACAATAGGTATTATCCTTCCCTCTAAGTCCCTAAAGTCCATTGTATCATTCTTCTGCCTTTGTGTCCTCATAGCTTAGCTCCCACATATCAGTGAGAACATGCAGTGTTTGGTTTTCCCTTCTTGAGTTACTTCACTTAGAATAATAGTCTCCAATCTCATCCAGGTCACTGCAAACGCTGCTAATTCATTCCTTTTGATGGCTGAGTAGTATTCCATCATATATATAGATATATATGTGATGTATATATATATATATATATATATATATATATATATATATATAAACTGTGATATATATATATGTGTGTGTGTGTGTGTGTGTGTGTGTGTGTGTGTGTGTATGTATATCACAGTTTCCTTATCCACCATTGATTGATGGGCATTTGGGCTGGTTCCATATTTTTGCAATTGCAAATTGTGCTGCTGTGATTATGTGTGTGCAAGTATCTTTTTCATATAATGACTTCTTTTCCTCTGGTTAGATACCCAGTAGTGGGATTGCTGGATCAAATGGTAGTTCTACTTTTAGTTCTTTAAGGCATCTCCACACTGTTTTCCATAGTGGTTGTGTTAGTTTACATTCCCATCAGCAGTATAGAAGTATTAGCTGATCACCACATCCATGCCAACATCTAGTGTTTTTTTATTTTTTGATCACGGTCATTCTTGCAGGAATAAGGTGGTATCACACTGTGGTTTTGATTTGCATTTCCCTGGTCATTAGTGATGTTGAGCATTTTTTCACATTTTTGTTGGTGATTTGTATGTCCTCTTTTGAGAATTGTCTATTCATGTCCTTAGCCTACTTTTTGATGGGATTGTTTGTTTTTTTCTTGCTTATTTATTTGAGTTCATTGTAGATTCTGGATATTAGTCCTTTGTTGGATGATAGGCAGTAAAGACTTTCCCCTACTCTGTGGGTTGTCTGTTTACCCTACTCTTTAATTTATTTAAGTCCCAGCTATTTATCTTTGTTTTTATTGCGTTTGCTTTCTGGTTCTTGGTCATGAAACCCTTGCCTAAGCCAAAGTCAAGAGGGGTTTTCCAATGTTGTCTTCTAAAATTTTTATAGTTTCAGGTCTTAGATTTAAGTCCTTAATCAATCTTGAGTTGATTTTTGTATGAGGTGAGAGATGAGGATCCAGCTTCATTCTCCTACATGTGGCTAGCCAATTATCCCAGCACAATTTGTTGAAAAGGGTGTCCTTTCCCCATTTTATGTTTTTGTTTGCTTTGTTGAAGATTAGTTGGCTGTAAGTATTTGGGTTTATTTCTGGGTTCTCCATTCAGTTCCATTGGTCTATGTACCTATTTTTATACCAGTATCATGCTGTTTTGGTGACTATGGCCTTAGAGTATAGTTTGAAATCAGGTAGTGTTGATACCTGCAGATTTGTTCTTTTTGCTTAGTCTTGCTTTGGTTATGTGGGCTCTTTTTTGTTTTTTTATGAATTTTAGAATTGTTTTTCCTAATTCTGTGAAGAATGATGATGGTACTTTGATGGGGATTGCACTGAATTTGTAGATTGCTTTTGGCAGTAAGGTCATTTCCACAATATTGATTCTACCCGTTTATGAGCAAGGGTTGTGTTTCCTTTTGTTTGTGTCATCTAGATTTTTATCAGCAGTGTTTTGTAGTTTTCCATGTAGAGGTCTTTTGCCTCGTTGGTTAGGTATATTCCTAAGTTGGTTTTTGTTTTGTTTTGTTTTGTTTTGTTTTGTTTTGTTTTGTTTGCAGCTATTGTAAAAGGGGTTGAGTTCTTGATTTGATACTCTGCTTAGTTGCTGTTTGTGTATAGAAGAGTTAGTGATTTGTGTACATTAATCTGTATCCAGAAACACTGCTGAATTCTTTTATCAATTCTAGGAGCTTTCTGGAAGAGGCTTCAGGATTTCTGAGGTAACCAATCATATTGTGAGCAAACAGTGACAGTTTGACTTCCTCCTTACGAATTTGGATGCCCTTTATTTCTTTCTCTTGTCTGATTGCTCTGGCTAGGATTTCCAGTACTATGTTGAAGAGAAGTCTGAGAGTGCGCATCCTTGTCTTGTTCCAGTTCTGGAGGGAATTATTTCAACATTTCCCCATTCAGTATTCTGTTGGCTGTGGGTTTGTCATAGATGATTTTTATTTCATTGAGGTATGTGCCTTGTATGCTGATTTTGCTGTGAGTTTTAATCATAAAGGGATGCTGGATTTTTTCAAATGCTTTTTCTGCATCTATTGAGATGATCACGTGATTTTTGTTTTTAATTCTGTTTTTGTGGTGTATGACATTTATTGACTTGAGTATGTTAAACCATCCCTGTATCCCTGGTATGAAACCCACTTGATCATGGTGGACTATTTTTCTGATACATTGTTGAATTAGGTTAACCAGTATTTTGTTAAGGATTTTAGCATCTGTGTTCATCAAGGATATCAGTCTGTAGACTGGGAGGCTAGGCCCATCTCTCCTCTTCATGTTTTTCTGCCTGCTTTATATTTGCTGGCAGCTGATTAGATGGTGCCCATAAGATTAAGGGTGAATCTGCTTTTCCCAGGCCACTGACTCAAATGTTAATCTCTTTTGGCAACACCCTCACAGACACACCCAGGATCAATATTGCATCCTTCAATCCAATCAAATTGACACACAGTATTAACCATCACCAGTTCCAAAAAAGCTAAAATAGCAAAATAAGAAATTAAACTATGAAACTCATTTTACTTCTGTTTCTGCATCACAAAACACATGTATTATGGTATAGTTAAAAAAAACCAAAAGGTGACTTTGGATTGGGGTATTTGAAGATGAGGTTCTTCCCCTAAGTAGTGATTCATAATGACTTAAGATCACATTCATGTTATTGACTTTATGACATATTTTTCTCTACATAATATTTTTCTACAATACACACATGTAGCCATGTAGCCATTCCACCTTTCTACCTAGCACTTGAAGCAACCTGTAGATCTCTTGAACTTTTTTTTTTTTGTTGAGATGGAGTCTCCCTCTGTCCCCCAGGCTGGAATGCAGTGGCGCCATCTCAGCTCACTGCAACCTCCGCCTCCCAGGTTCAAGCAATTCTCTGCCTCAGTCTCCCGAGTAGCTGGGATTATAGGCACCCTCCATCATGCCTGGCTAAGTTTGGTATTTTTAGTAGAGATGGGGTTTCACCATCTTGGCCAGGCTGGTCTTGAACTCCTGACCTCGTGATCCACCAACCTCGGCTTCCCAAAGTGCTGGGATTACAGGCGTGAGCCACTGCACCCGGCCTGAACTTCTTTTTTCTTTACTCTAGGCTTTTAAAATGTGTCTCACCAGGTTGTGTGACCAACTCCTTCTTGACTCACAAATCTGTTTCAATGAAATTCTTACTTTTTTTTTTACTTTACAAACATGTCACTGTCTAGAATTTTATGTTTCCAAGAATGCATAACTTTATAAAATGTGTAGACTGTATCAACAAATCTGCCTTAGATACCATATATAAGAGACTACAGTTAGTTACCTATGTGATACCAAAGCCTTATAAAACAGAAATATCAAGGCACTAGAGAGGGCAACCCAGTGAGTTATTGAAGGGTGCAGTTTCAGTTTCTAGCTATGTCAGAATATAGTTATATTAGTTCATGTTTACAATGTCTTGATCTTTTAGAGGAGTGGTGTGATGTGTCAGGCGTGGGGGCTAAGAATGTCATAGATTTTGACTTACAATCCCTCTATCTCTAATGCTCCATAATGCTTCACTTCTATCTAATTCTGACTCTGAGTATCTGTTCCTCATACTTCTTTTACCCATTTCTCCCATTATCACTGTTTAACTGTCCTGTGCCATATGAGATTGAAGTAAAATTACTTTGAAACTAGGCTCAAGAAAGAGAAAAGTTATCATTGTAAACCAACATACTTATTGTTATTATAGTTGGGGTGAGAGAAATGTGTATGTATGTGTGCTTCATATCTATATATCTATATGCATAAATCTGTATTTATCTAATCTCTCTATTTCTCTATTGAGAGAGAGTGTGTGTGAGGAAAGAAAGAAAAAGAGAAAGACAGTGAAAAAGAAGAGACCTACTATTTGATAGCATAATAAGGTAACTATAGTCAATAATAATGTAATTGTATGTTTTAACATAGCTTAAGGGATGTAATTGAATTGTTTTAACTCAAAGGATTAATGCTTGAGAAGACAAATACTCCATTCTCCATGATGTGTGCTTATTTCACATTGCGTGCCTGTGTCAAAACATCTCATGTACCTCATAAATATACACACCTATTATGTACCCTCAAAATTTGTTTAAAATAATTTTCAAAAAATTTTAAAAAGATAACTGGAGGCAAATAATCCCCCCTACACACACACACACAAAAGGTGCTCGAACTGTAGCTTCACCTATGATATGTAGATTGAGTTATGAGGCAGAATATAACAAAAACAGTAAAGTTCACTCTGTAACATGTCTCTGTACCCAAAGTTGTCTCCCATTCAACAACTGCAAATATGTTCACAAGTTAAAGAGGACAGGTACTCTAGATTAGATACTACATAGTGGGTTTTTTTGCCTTCAACTTTTAAGTTCCAGGGTACATGAGCAGGATGTTCAGGCTTGTTACATAGGTAAAGGTGTGCCATGGTGGTTTGCTGCACAGATCAACCAATCATCTAGGTATTAAGCTCAGCATTCATCAGCTATTTTTCCTGATGCTCTCCTGCCTCCCACCCCCACCCTCCCCAACAGGCCCCAGTGTGTGTTGTCCCACCATGTCTCTATGTATTCTCATTATTCAGCTTCCACCTGTAAGTGAGAGTATCTGGTGTTTGCTTTTCTGTTCCTGCGTTAGTTTGCTGAGGATAACTGTTGATACCATATAGTTTTAATCAGATTTGCAGTCCTCAGGAACAATGCTAATGTCCTTCTGTCTACAGCCATTCAAGGACTTGAGTGGGATGAAGGGTGGGAGTGGTACAGAACTTAGGGTTTTAAATAGCATCGGTTACAGATGTTTGAGGTTTGGGTGGAGAAATCAGGGGAAGAAAGAATGAGAGAAAGACACAGATGGAGCTAAACCAAGTTCCATTCAAAAATATGGGGGGGAAATGGTCTACTTTAGCAAGATAACAGTAATTTTGTTCATTGTTTATCAAGAAATTTGTGTTATTTGTGGTGTTCCATAACTGCTTCATTTTGAAATTAAAAAAAAAATCAGAAATTTAAAAAATTTTCTTGATATTATCTCTTGAAATTTTCTTTTCTTGATAATATCTGCAGAAATTGTTTCTATAAAGGTGTTTCTAAATATAGGGTAAAATTTTAAGCAAATATATCATTAAATAGCTTTTGTACCATGTTTTGACCACATTTGCACTGAATGTGATTTGGATTTATTTATGACCTCTCTTACTTTCATTGCCCCAGTCTTTTGAGAGATAATAATTGTTATTCAAAGTATCATAGTTAATACTATTGAGATTTCTTTAGCTATTATAGTGAATTATAATTTACAAAGCTGTTTATATATGTTATCCTATTTCATCTTCACTTGAGTTCATTGAGGTGGATAGAGACTATTATTTTCCTTTTACAGAAAAAATTACCAGAGAATCAGAAAGATTAAATAACTCAGGTAAAATTTTCAGGGTCAGAAGGAAGATGTGATAATATAATTAGTGACCCTTAGACAATGACAATGTGCTTTTGTGAAGAGTCAGAAAAATTTACATTAGGAGCCAGCTTTTGAAAGGTACTGGCTGTGTGAGCTTGGCTAAATAATTAAACCCTGTGAGCCTCAATTCTATTGACTGCCAAGTAGAAATAATAATAACTACCTTGCAGAAATGTTGTGAATGTAAGAATACTATACTTAAAGCAAATAGCAGATGCATGGCACCTATTACGTAACCAATGAATTGTAGTTTATTTTCACCACTCCTCCTATAGAATATATGCTAGTGTGTGTTTTCTTGACATTCAAAATTTTGCATGTTAGGCTGCTTAGTGTGGAGCTCCATTTCCTCCCAACAATGAGGTTTTAATGAGATAAGCCTAGAGGAAAAGCTTTCAGCTTTGACAATTTTATAACAGAGGAACAACTTTTCTGAAAACATGCAGCTGAAAAATCTCTAACTAGATGGCTGGGGTAAATTCTCAAAAAATGTTTAAGTGTCATAAAGTACAACAGAGTAAGGAAAAGACTGAAAATTACCTAACTGTCTAGTAACAGGGGATTATTAAAATAACCTTTATATATCGTAAAATTGATCACTGCTAACGGCCTAAAAGAATGAGATAGCTCTATGTACGTTGTAATGGAAAAATCCCCCAAGAAATATTGTTAAATCAAAGTACAAACAGATTATTTGTGTAAAGTAAAAGGGATACATTTGTAAATTCTTGTAGCAGCATTGAATATCTCCGAATGCTATAAAAGAAGCTGATAACCACAGATGTATCTAGAAATGGGTCCGGATGGCTGGAAGAGGAGCCTTTCAAGTATGAAATATGGGGGTGGAACTCTCAGGGTCCTGGAAGAAGATAACTTAAACAACTGGGCTCAGAAGGATCCCCTGATCTCAAGGGCTCTGACAAGTCCTAGGGTCACTAGGGCACCTGGCAACTAGATTTGTTTGTACTTTAAACAAAGTATGAAGGAGACTTGGTTTTCACATTGTGAATTTTTCGTTTTTGTAAAATGAACATGTTGTTCATTGTACCTTTATATTGGTACCACCATTATATCGGTGGTAATAACCACAGTTGTTATGGTAGCTTCATTTGGTTCAACTAACCAGAAAACTGCTGGAAAAAAAAATCACTTAAACTGTGAGAGACAAAATTAAGCCTTCCATGGAATTAATTTTATGCAAATTTATACTTTATTTCTTTTTGAATATAGTTTTTACATTCTCTCACCAAACGCACAAAAATATATTAAGAAAATAAAAACTTTTCTATTTCCAGAAAAAAAAAAAGTACAACAGAGTAAAGAGCTATACTACGTCTTAGAAATATTACGGTCTCAGAAATCCTTGATTCTGACATTTCTTGATTCTGAAGGTGTTCACACAGATACCCACAGTGGACCCAGTGAAGGGACTAAGCAGCAAGGTCCTTGGACTCACAATTGATGGAGAAACCATTCTGGTCCTGGGCAGTGGGTGAGCTGAGAGAAGCGATTATCTCAGCTCGGGGGCTGAAAAAAGTAGAAACTCTTCCAACACCTTTAGTGTTGCTGGAAATGTGGAACATACTCTTCAGTTTATTTCCTTTTAATAAAAGCTAAAATGCTTCTTAGGCATTGTGTTCAATATATTGGAAAAGACAGCTATTTTCTTCCTTCCTGACTGTCTAAAAGAATTTTCACATGTTGCTGAAACAGAATAGGGAAGTACGTTGGACACAATAATACAAGTGTTTCTCATTTTTAATTAATTAATTAATATTGACAAGCTAACAAGGGAGGACTGAAGTAAACAGAAGTTGGATGTTCAGCGAAAGGGAATCCTCAGTGACTCACACCACATAAACACAATAAAAATTTTGAGCAGTAGCAGCCCAGATACTCATCAAAAACAACAGAAGAAAAATCTGAAAGCAGTATCATTTTGACATTATAAAAAAAGTTTCTCAGGTAGAATTGGCAGCCTTGGACTAAAAGGCATTGAATTAATGTTCCCAGATGTTAGCTTGTATTCATTTATCTTAGAAAATACCAGAATTAAGGAAAAAAAACTTTACTTTTCTGAAATATTTCCTTATGCATTCTCTTCTCTAGAAACCATTTCACATACTACCATCCTATAATTCATTTGTATATTGAGAGTCCTTAACATTTTCACTTGGTATGTACCTTGTGCCATTATTTAATTAAAGCATAATTATAGGATATTGACATAATAAAACATTCAAATGAGTGGGCCATTCATTTCCAAATGAAAAGCATTTGGACTCAGCTGTGCAAGGGAAAGTAATCTCTTTCAATGAAAACACCACAGGCTTGGGGAATAATAGTTATCTTCAGAAATGACATAAACACATTGACTTTGAAAGGTTAGGAATATTCAGAGTCTCTCTCTCTCATTTACAGAAGGACTGAAATTTCTGATTATAAAGATAATTTAAATGTGCTTTGTTGACTTAACAAGATAGTCAAGATTTTTTATATCTTTTAGAAATGACAAGACAGGCAATACAGAAGCAGGCAATAAAATTATGAAGCTAGAAGTGTTCTGTTGCAAAGATTGGGTTAGCAGTCAGCACATATGTACGAGCAATCAAGGATGTCTATATATCTATACAGATATAGATATAGATATATTTATAGATATATACACACACTAAACTAATCTTCTCTGTTTATATACAAATTTTTGTGTCAGAAGCGGTTTCCAACACAATGGAATGGATAACTGTTGGAGTGACATCCTTAAATAAGACAGAGGAATCCATGGTCAACATCATTCAGTATAAGAGAATATCTAAGTGGAAAATTTATCTAGAATAATATTTACAGTTGATAACAGAAGGGAAGCCAGAGTGTGTAGGTACAGATGCTGGTAGGAGGGTAGATGTGCAGTGGGCATACCATGTCTTGAATTTTCTCAACAAGGTGGAAAGCAAGGACACACCTGACAGAAAGAGAACTATTTGACCTCAATGCATAAAGCAATGTTTTTGGTTTTACTTTTATCCCCACTCCAGTTCCGTACTAAGTTTATTGCTAGATATGTTGTTTTTTTCTCATCCACTCCAGTTAAAATCCCTTTAAAAAAAAATCTTCCTAAATGACTTAAATGCATTTGCTATTCTGGTAGTAAATATCCTCATAGGGAACTACAGCAACAGAGAAGCCAAAGCAATATTGGAATTCAGCCATAAACTCAGGAAACCCTCTAAACTTTCTGACTCTGCATTCTTTTCAAAAGTGGCAACTTTCAACAGTGGGTGAACACTGGGGTGCCTGGCAATAATTGTTCAAGGTGAACAGAACAAAGAAGGCAGGAAAACAACATTGGGGCGGCACTGTTGCTCAACAGGACATGCCTCTTCAAAAAAGTCCTCTTTCTTTTTGTTTTCCCAGTGTTGGTCAAGTTGGCAGAAGTACCAAAATAACATTATAACCTGAGATAGGTCCTGTGCTGCTTCATTTATTTACGCTATTAGCAGCATAGAATTTAACTCTTCTGACCCCAGAAGTAACTGCAGCCACCAATAGAAAATGGTTCCATTTTAGCATTGCTCAGGAAGTGAGGCTACAGATAGACATTCAAATACATTTCAGAAACAAATATAGCACTGTTTCCTCTGAAATAAATTAAATGAAAATTAGTTTTTGCCTTGTTTCTGTAAAGCTTCCATGTTACTGGGTACTTTGAAGTAACAGTGGAAATATTCATCCTCAATTTAAGAAAAAAAATATGTTTTCTGGGTTTCAAAACAGCCTTTGTGCTAAGAGCAAAACTGAAAGATGACTGCTTGTATGTCCTTTCTTTTTCTAATTTCTAATTTTCTTTAAGATTTTTAAAGAAACATTATTGTCTCTGGCCCAATACTCACTGCAAAACACTATTGTGTTCCATGTTCTGCTAACAATTGGGTCAAAGGAGAGAAATAATACGCATCTTCATCACTGACAGGTATAAAGAAGCAAAATTTATCTGTTAAATCCCACTCTATCATAATACCTCCACATATTTGCATATTCTTAGATGACTGGTCTAATGGGAAGTACTCTAATTGCATCACTATTCATTTTTAACCAGCTTTTTAGCTTAATCATTGCATATAGATGTGTATGATTGAACATAAAATATAATTAAGTATTCAATGTATAATTATTAATAAAAAGGAAAGTAGAACTTGACTTATACTGGCCCATTACTTATCTTTAACTTTACACTATTGGTATTTTTTTAAAGTTCAAATATGTAATATATTAAAAAATTGAGTTTTAGGTAAAGATTAAAAGAAATTTTACACCACATGAGATGCGTCAAAAGGAGAAAAACACTTACATTTACTTATGAGTCATCAATGACCTTTCAAAAAATGTGTTTTTAAACATCTATACTGATACTTTTGCGGCTAAGCCACAATCGAGGAGGAATAAAGTGTCTGAATTAACCTAATCTGTAATTTGAAGAATTATAAGAATTTCATGTAAATGTTAATGTCTATTTCTGCCATTTGGATAAATTTGCCATTATTTCAATGTGCTACATCAATTCATGACTCTGGGATACACCAGGAATTGTGTGTGTAAATGTGTGTCTCTGTGTGCATATTTCTATGTGGGTTCTAAAATATGAATTAGAACTCTTCACTATAAATCTTGTGGAATACATAACTTGTCATTTCTTGGATTGGCTTCAATTACCATAAATGTTCATTTATTCTTTTTATTTTTTAGATAAACTTCTGATTTTTTTTTTTTACAGACAGTGTCTGAGGCAGTGTCTAACTTTGGTGAATATCTTATGCATGTTAGACTCAGGGAGGACTTACTCAAAAAAGAGAAGAAAACATAATTGCCAAATGACTTAATACAACTCCCTTGACAGTATCCTATGCATTGTTTCTAAATGTCCACAGCAAAATAATAAACAAGATTTTTTTAGTACATTGTAATTTCTCACAATAATTATTTTATTGCCTTTCTATGTTTAGCAATTTTTTCTTATTTAAATTGTTTTTCTCCACAAACAATTAACCTCTTCTCTAACTCTTTTTGCCCCTGAATTTATTTATGGAAAGCATAATGTGTGTTCATTTTCATTTCTCGATCATCTCTCTTCCCCTTTTTTTTCATGTAAAGCTTGTTCTCTTGTTCATTTTTTAAATATAAATTCTCTTGCCTTACGTTTCTTGTCTCTGGTTCTAAGTTATACAGAGAAGAAGGGAAGGAGAGAGGGGAACTGCTTTCTTTTTCACTCATTCAACTGCCAAGGCACTATTCTGGTTTTTTTAATATTCATTGTGTAATTTGATTTATATAACAAATATATGGAGTATACAGTATAGTTCCTATTTCATGGATTGAAAAAAATTGAATTGTGAAAAGATAATTCAACCAAGTTACATGTACTTATATAAGTGTATGTAATAAGTGCATAAATAGAATTGAAACCTGGGTTACATACTTGTCAAAATTCATTCATCTCACTTCATCACTCTCCTATCATTATCACTAGAAAGAATTTGGTCATAATCCACTTGACCTAGGTATTTCCATTCCCAACAAGGCCTCCCTTGCTGCTGTTCCTGTTTAGCACTCCTGGGACCTCCTCTTCCAGGCATTACTGCTGCCAGATAATTGAGGCTTGGAACCTCCAGGTGTCAGAGAGTGATGCACTTTTGAAACCCTCCAGGTGATAAAAATCAGGTGTGTTTGACCTGTGACAAAGAAATGTTCCTCTTCATTTTATCATTTTATTTTTCCAAATTGACACCCAAACAGTGTCACTCGTGCCTTAATATTGCCATAGAAGTTTTCTTTTAGCAAAACTTTTCTTCAAACAATTAAGGGTAAACATAAGCTCATAGATATTTGGGCTTGGCAACAAATCTGGGTGACCACTGCCACATTAAAAACTAAGATTCTATATGGGTCATATTTTTCTCTTCTCTTACAATGTATACTCTTTTTTATATTCTTTTTTTATTTTTTATTATATTTTAAGTTCTGGGGTACATGTGCAGAACATGCAGGTTTGTTACACAGGTATACATGTGCCATGGTGGTTTGCTGCACCCATCAACCTGTCATCTACATTAGGTATTTTTCCTAATGTTATCTCTCCCCTAGCCCCCTACCCGCCGACAAGCCCTGGTGTGTGATGGTCCCCTCCCTGTGTCCATGTGTTCTCATTGTTCAACTCCCACTTATGATTGAGAAGATGCGGTGTTTGGTTTTTTGTTCTTGTGTTAGTTTTCTGAGAATGATGGTTTCCAGCGTCATCCATATCCCAGCAAAGGACATGAACTCATCATTTTTTATGGCTGCATAGTATTCCATGGCATATATGTGCCACATTTTCTTTATCCAGTATATCATTAATGAGCATTTGGGTTGGATCTAAGTCTTTGCTATTGTGAACAGTGTCACAATAAACATACGTGTGCATGTGTCTTCATAGTAGAATGATTCATAATCCTTTGGGTATATACACAGCAATGGGATTGCAGGGTTAAATGGTATTTCCAGTTCTAGATCTTTGAGGAATTGCCACACTGTCTTCCACAATGGTTGAACTAATTTACACACCCACCAACAGTGTAAAAGTGCTCCTACTTCTCCACATCCTCCCTAGCATCTGTTGTTTCCTGACTTTTTAATGATCGCCCTTCTAATTGGCATGATAAGGTATCTCATTGTGGTTTTGATTTGCATTTCTCTAATGACCAGTGATGATGAGCATTTTTTCATATGTTTGTTGGCTGCATAGATTTCTTCTTTTGAGAAGTGTCTGTTCATATCCTCTGCCAACTTTTTGATGAGGTTGTTTGTTTTTCTCTTGTAAATTTGTTTAAGTTCTTTGTAGATTCTGGATATTAGCCCTTTGTCAGATGAGTAGATTGCAAAAATTTTCTCCCATTCTGTAGGTTGCCTGTTCACTCTGATGGTAGTTTCTTTCACTGTGCAGAAGCTCTTTAATTTAATCAGATCCCATTCGTCTATTTTGGCTTTTGTTGCCATTGCTTTTGCTGTTTTAGTCATGAAGTCTTTGCCCATGCCTATTTCCTGAATGGTATTGCCTAGGTTTTCTTCTAGGGTTTTTATGGTTTTATGTCTTATGTTTAAGTCTTTAATCCATCTTGAGTTAATTTTTGTATAAGGTGTAAGGAAGGGATCCAGTTTCAGCTTTCTGCATATGGCTAGCCACTTTTCCCAACAACACTTATTAAATTGGGAATCCTTTCCCCATTGCTTGTTTGTGTCAGGTTTGTCAAAGATCAGATGGTTGTAGATGTGTGGCGTTATATCTGAGACCTCTGTTCCATTGGTCTATATATCTGATTTGGTACCAGTATCATGCTGTTTTTGTTACTGTAGACTTGTAGTATAGTTTAAAGTCAGGTAGAGTGATGCCTCCAGCTTTTTCTTTTTGCTTAGGATTGTCTTGGCTATGCAGGCTCTTTTTTGGTTCCATATGAACTTTAAAGTAGTTTTTTCCAATTCTGTGAAGAAAGTCAATGGTAGCTTGATTGGCATAGCATTGAATCTATAAAGTACTTTAGGCAGTATGGCCATTTTCACAATATTGATTCCTCCTATCCATGAGCATGGAATGTTTTTCCCATTTGTTTGTGTCCTCTCTTATTTCCTTGAGCAGTAGTTTTTATTTCTCCTTGAAGAGGTACTTCACATCCCTTGTAAGTTGTATTCCTAGATATTTTATTCTCTTTGTATTGATTGTGAATGGGAATCCACTCATGATTTGGCTCTTTGTTTGCCCGTTATTGGTGTATACGAATGCTTGTGATTTTTGCACATTGATTTTGTATCCTGAGACTTTCCTGAAGTTGCTTATCAGCTTAAGGAGATTTTGGGCTGAGATGATGGGGTTTTCTAAATATACAATCATGTCATCTGCAAACAGAAACAATTTAACTTCCTCTCTTCCTAATTGAATACCCTTTATTTATTTCCCTTGCCTTTTTGCCCTGGCCAGAATTTCCAATACTATGTTGAATAGGAGTGGTGAGAGAGGGCATCCTTGTATTGTGCCGGTTTTCAAAGGGAATGCTTCCAGTTTTTGCCCCTTCAGTATGATATTGGCTGTGGGTTTGTCATAAATAGCAATTATTATTTTCAGATATGTTCCATCAATGTCTAGTTTATTGAGAATTTTTAGCATGAAGGGCTTTTGAATTTTGTTGAAGGCCTTTTCTGCATCTATTAAGATAATCATGTGGTTTTTGTCATTGGTTCTGTTTATGGGATGGATTATGTTTATTGATTTGCATATGTTGAACCAGCCTTGCATCCTAGAAATGAAGCCAACTTGATTGTGGTGGATAAGCTTTTGAATGTGCTGCTGGATTCAGTTCACCAGTATTTTATTGAGGATTTCCGCATCGATGTTCATCAGGGATATTGGCCTGAAATTTTCTTTTTTTGTTCTGCCTCTGCCAGGTTTTGGTATCAGGATGATGCCGGCCTCATAAAATGAGTTAGGGAGGATTCCCTCTTTTTCTATTGATTGGAATAGTTTCAGAAGGAATGGTACCAGCTCCTCTTTGTACCTCTGGTAGAATTCGGCTGTGAATCCATGTGGTCTCAGACTTTTTTTGGTTGGTAGGCTATTAATTGCTGCCTCAATTTCAGAACTTGTTATTGTCTATTCAGGGATTCAACTTCTTCTTGGTTTAGTCGGGAGGGTGTATGTGTCCAGGAATTTATCAATTTCTTCTAGATTTTCTAGTTTATTTGTGTAGAGGTGTTTATAGTATTCTCTGATGGTAGTTTGTATTTCTGTGGGATCGGTGGAGATATCACCTTTATCATTTTTTATTGCATCTATTTGATTCTTCTCTCTTTTCTTCTTTATTAGTCTGGCTGGTGGTCTATCTATCTTGTTGATCTTTTCAAAAAAACAGCTCCTGGATTAATAGATTGTTTCAAGGTTTTTTGTGTGTGTCTCTATCTCCTTCAGCTCTCCTCTGATCTTAGCAATTTCTTGCCTTCTGCTAGCTTTTGAATTTGTTTGTTCTTGCTTCTCTAGTTCTTTTAATTGTGATATTAGGGTGTCAATTTTAGCTCTTTCCTGCTTTCTCTTGTGGGCTTTTAGTGCTATAAATTTCCCTTTACACACTGCTTTAAACGTGTCCCAGAGATTCTGGTATGTTGTGTCTTTGTTCTCATTGGTTTCAAAGAACATCTTTATTTCTGCTTTCATTTTGTTATTTACCCAGTAGTCATTCAGGAGCAGGTTGTTCAGTTTCCATGTAGTTGTGCAGTTTTGAGTGAGTTTCTTAATCCTGAGTTCTAATTTGATTGCATTGTGGTCTGAGAGATTGTTGGTTATGATTTCCGTTCTTTTGCATTTGCTGAGGAGTGTTTTATTTCCAATTATATGGTCAATTTTAGAATAAGTGTGACGTGGTGCTGAGAAGAATGTATATTCTGTTGATTTGGGGTGGAGAGTTCTGTAGATGTCTCTTAGGTCTGCTTGGTCTGGAGGTGAGTTCAAGTTGGTTATCCTTGTTAATTTTCTGTCTCATTGATCTAATATTGACAGTGGGGTGTTAAATTTTCCCACTATTATTGTGTGGGAGTCTAAGTCTCTTTGTAGGTCTCTAAGAACTTGCTTCATGAATCTGGGTGCTCCTGTATTGGGTGCATATATATTTAAAATAGTTAGCTTCTTGTTGCATTGATCCCTTTACCATTATATAATGGCCTTCTTTGTCTCTTTTGATCTTTGTTGGTTTAAAGTCTGTTTTATCAGAGACTAGGATTGCAACCCCTGCTTTTTTTTACTTTCCATTTGCTTAATGAATATTCCTCCATCCCTTTATTATGAGCCTGTGTGTGTCTTTGCACGTGAGATGGGTCTCCTGAATACAGCTCACCAATGGGTCTTGACTCTATCCAATTTGCCAGTCTGTGTCTTTTAATTGGGGGCACTTAGCCCATTTACATTTAAGGTTAGTATTGTTATATGTAAATTTGATCCTATCATTATGATGCTAGCTGGTCATTTTGTCCGTTAGTTGATGCAGTTACTTCATAGTGTCGATGGTCTTTACAATTTGGTATGTTTCTGCAGTGGCTGGTACCAGTTGTTCCTTTCCATGTTTAGTGCATCCTTCAGGAGCTCTTTTAGGGCAGGCCTGGTGGCGACAAAATCTCTCAGCATTTCCTTGTCTGTAAAGGATTTTATTTCTCCTTCACTTATGAAGCTTAGTTTGGCTGGACAAAAAGTTCTGGTTTGAAATTCTTTCCTTTAAGAATGTTGAATATTGGCCCCCACTCTCTTCTGGCTTGTAGGGTTTCTGCTGAGAGATGCGCTGTTAGTCTGATGGGCTTCCCTTTGTGGGTAACCCGACCTTTCTCTCTGGTGCCCTTAACATTTTTTCCTTCATTTCAACCTTGGTGAATCTGAGGATTATGTGTCTTGGGATTGCTCTTCTCAAGGAGTATCTTTGTGGTGTTCTCCTCTTACAGTGTATTTTCTAACAGTCTAACAGATTCTTGAGTCTCCATGTAAATATGCTTCAGGTAAGACATGTATCTTATATCTGTTACTTAGAATAAAAATTACTAATGATAACTTATTAAATAATATTCTATTATAGTTACAGTTTTAAATTATAAAGTTTGGAAATACAATTCTTAGCTATGATGAATCTCTAGTAGATCTAGAACCAGGCTTCAGGTTTCTGAAACTTTTTTTTTAAATCCATAGACCAAAAGAAACTCAGGAATAAATCACGGCTCATTCTGTGTGGGAAATCCCTAGATAGGCTCCTTCCCTCTGAGGCAGAAATCTGCCAGGATCTTATTATTTCTTCAAGAAATAATAAGCATAAGGAAATCAAACAAATTGTAAAAGAGAGTTAGGAAGGTCACATATATACCAGGAACCATAAGTATCAGGTAGTATATTTTGGTTTTGTTTAAATTAAGTCATTGATTCCAATCTCTGACAACTCCATGGCTGATTTATCTATGTCCTAATCAAAGAGTAATTAAATCATCCTCTGAAGTAAATTATCATTAGTTAATTATACATCATATGGTTGTCTATATGGGTTCAACTTTAAGAACTGTTAGTATAATTGATAAAACAATCTTTAATATCAAATATGCAAAAATAGATGGAACAATTACTAGGCTAAAAGATCATAGGAGTTAAAGATAGCCAAATACACCTGTACTTAGAGAAAAGCATTGTGACACTTTTTTTTTTTTTTTGGTGTCTCAAAAGCCATAATTCACATAATCTCACACTGCTTTTCCACAACACTTCTCCCACAAGTTCTCTGCAAGGAAAGACTAAGCCTTTGTATTCTATTTACAGACCACAGGTCATCGGCACACGGCTTTTCCTTTCATCTGAAACCAATACACTTCAGTATATATGGGGCACTCAGCATGAGAGATGGAAGGGATTGACAGTATTTTACCTCTGTGTGTGCTCATAGAACCAAAAATGTGTTGCTGTTTTGAGTTTGGGAGACATTTCTCATATATTTTAAAGTAACTTTTCAGGTAGTATCTTGTGAAATAAGTGTCCTAGAAAATGTCTCAGCATATCTACCTTCAGGGCTATCGGAACTAGTTGTGACTACCTGGAGAATAAATGCTAGGATATCGGAATTAATTAATGAAGGAAGAGGACAAGGATATTGCTAACTTCTTGGTGTATGCTTCAGAGGGTAGTGTGGATGTGGGGGTTGAGGTAACTCATCCAGAAGCTGGAAAGAATCAAGGTTTCATCTTGGTAGAATTTAAGAAAAATAATAATATTGAGTGGGGCTCTGTGATGTGAAGGCATTATTCATATACCCTAATTCTTAGGTATAGAGAAACTTTCATAAATTTATTAACATTTTCATTAATAATTATATTTATTTATTTATTCATCCATTTTTACTTTGAGCTCATTGACTAAGTTACAAAACAAATCATATAGTTGCTCAAGTTAAAAACCTGTGTGCCATTTCTTATTTCTCCCTTTCTTTCTTGTCCTCCCCTACATTAAGTTTCCTAATTTCTATATCTATAGTCCATATAAAATTCTGTTTGTGTTTCTCCATTCCCACTGGCATTATCTTCATCCAAACCCCATCACCTCTTAACTGTAATACTACAGTATCTCCTTCACTAGTCTTCTTGCCTCCTTCTAAAATAATCGGTCTGATTGCTCTGCAGGAAACAGATTCTAAAAAAAAAAAATTAGGTTATATCCCTTTCCCCTTTAAACCTTTTGGCCCACATGGTGCTTTAGTAAACATATTCTATGGCCTTTAAGATTATGCATGATCTATATCACAGCTATGTTTTAAATCTCCTTTAGAAATTTTCACTAGCTAGACTATTCTTATCCTTCAAGTCTGACTTCAAGCATCACCATCGTCTCTAGGAAACTTTGATCATCACTCCAGCCTGAAATAGCCTCCCACTCTCAGTTTCTTTCATCATATCTGTTTGTTTATATATTTCCTTCTGATTTTTAATTGCCATCTTCCAGCAGCTTGTCACTTTTATATGCTTGTTGTTTTTCTCTCTGAAAGTAGAAACTCTTTTCTTGCTCATATCATATTCCAAAACTGACCTAAACACAATTCTAGAAATGATAGGTATTTATTATATACATATTGTTGACTGAATGTTTTTGCTGAGTGTTTCAAATTCTTGAATTCGTTGAGAGACATTTAGAACACTAAAGTGTTGTAGTTCATTTGGGAGACGAATCAAAGTGTATCAGCCTGCTAAGAAGAACAGCCTTTGCCTCTTGAATATGAGCAATACATGGGTTAGTGTAAAAAGAGATGAAACCGTGTCTAACCTCAGTAACTATACTTGTTTATTTTTGATTGGTAAGAGTAGCAAAGACAGTAGCAACTGCATCTTCATATATTACAGTGTGAATATAGAGTGCTACATACGATGGAAGAGGTAAAAGATAATCACCTTCCAAGAGAAATCATGAACAACCAGGACCCTACCAGGGAAAGATAGGCCCAGGAGTTCATAATAATGCTACTAAATGGGGAATTACAGGAAAAGGCATTTCATCACCTTGTGATCTAAGGAAGTGAGAGTTATACTTGAGCATAATAATTTATTCAAATAATAGTTATTTAGAATCCATGTTTTATTTATTATTATACCACTTATAGTGATAGCATAAAGGATGTAATTTTGCCTATGTTACAATTTGTAGAGAAGAGACTATGTAACACGTCAATAGAAAGGTTTATTTCAGACAAAAGTGAATCTCTGATAATTTTTTACATATTTATATACCTTTGAAGATTAAAGTAAAATTTGTACACATCTGGTTGGAGCCTAAATTTTTATATGTCTTCCTGGTATTGTCTTAAATTATAAGCCTCAGTAGGACAGATGTACATATACATATATCTTATAAATAAAAAATTTTCAATTAGAATCAAAGGACAATCATTATTACCAACTGTAAAGTGAAAAGCAGACATCTTATTTCAACCTAATAAAGCAAGATACTGCTTTTCAAGATTTAATGTACAATACATCACCTAGGGATCTTACTAAAATGCAGATTCAGTAGGTATGAAGTGGGACCTGAGATTCTGAATTTCTTACAAGGTCAAATATGCTGCATTCTGTTGTCCAGGACTGTGCCAGGGCATGATATTTGGGTTACTGACTCTGATTTTAAAACTGGGAATTTACAAAGAGATATTTTCCTTTTTGCCAATATGGATTAATAAATTGGTAAATCTTATTGAAAATGTGTTAAGAAAGAAGAGAATACAAAACGAATGAATGGGTGGGTCCACTTTTAATGAGAGATGGCCTTTCCATCGTGAGAAAAATTGCTATAAGTTAGCTTGTAACCAGAAAATAAATTCCTTTGAAAAATTCACCTTGTGAATTTTTTGAGTGATTTCCCTGTAGATCTCCTACTTGAATTTCAATTTTGATGCAGAAACTTGGGTCAGCATTCAAGACCCAGAAAGCTCACTAATGTATCAAGCAACCTGAGCTATCATAGTTCTCACTGAATAGCTGCTTGCACCTGTAGAACAGAAACTTATTAGGAACAGTCATTTCTCTCACAAGTTTGTGCATGTTGACATTCAGCTTTCCCACTAAATGGGTTTTGTTAAGAGATCCTTGTAGAATGCCAAATCTCCTGTGACAATGTAGGACAGGATAAGTATTACTGCAATAGAGGAAAATAAACTACTGGTGAAGTTGGCTAGCATTTAACTCGAAGGGAACTCAGCGTATTCTGTTTTTATGAAGTCATAGGGGGTCAGCTTCTCTGTCCAGGATGAATAACTGTCATCTGTTGAACTGAAATATACAAAAATATATATTCCTTGGATTTGGTGATCTATTTATTTTATTTCAGAAGTCATAAGTATACTTTGGCTGTTACTAAAGCAGTATCCTCACAGTGGAAAATTAATGTGGCTTAAAACACAATTTCACAAGAGATTTCTGTGTTTTGTTTCTGCCTCACTCTGACATGATCAGATTCATTCTTAGAGAGAAAAACGTGACAACACTAGAGATCCTGAGTGAAATCAGCCTCTTAGTTAAAAAATATATAATTTTTTTTTATCAAGGGCCATGTTTTCTATGTCCTCTAGGACCATTCTTCCGCTCTTGCAACTTTTCATTTACTGTTTTAATAACGTTATTGGGGGAACAAAAGTACACAAAGGTGTTGCCTGTGAACTCACAAGTGCTATCACAGTTTGAAGGCTTTAAAAATGCTTACAAAGGTTTTCTACTTGTAAGCTTACAAGTTTTTACTTACACAGAATCTTTCAGAACAACGGCAAGAATTCTGAGCAGAGAATCCATATACTTGCATCTCATTTATTGTGTCATTTTATTATTTGATAAGAGGAAACTTATGAGGAAATTCTTCCCTCCAAATTGCTATCCTGAAGAGTATTTTCAGATTTCCCTCTTATCTGGTAAAGGCTATTTCTCAAAGCTCAAAAGTAGTGCATATATTATCTTTCTTTTGTTTTTCCAACAAACAAAAAGGCTTCTTTCTACTTAGAACAGCGACTAAAAAATTACTTATACCTTCCTTCCAATAACTTAAAAAGTTTCTACATATTAATAATTTATCAGACTCATAAAATAATAAAATGATAAAAGTAATAATGAACTAATATTATTAATAGAAGGGTTTATCTTTGGCATTAGGGGCCAACGGTAATTAATTGTGCAAGATTGCAGAAATGAATCATTGACAGTGTTGAGGCAAAAAAGAATGCCTTGCTCATAAAAGGTTTCAAAAATATTTATTGCCTAGATTAGTTTTGAACATACTTGAGCCCAAATTCGTGTCCTAATGGACTTTTTGTTGTTAATTCATCTGACTCTTATTTCGGAAGGATTTTATTTCCTGGATGTCATTGGAGCCTCAATGTAGAAGATTCTAAGCCTCAGGCTATGTCTCATAGAGACTTTTCTTTTAAAAAGCCTTTTCTTCCATGTATACTTTCATCTTAATCCACGGATTTATACAGATTTAATGGAATAGGACATTTTCCCACAATTTCTCCCATCTGGTTGTGGCAAGTTAGGATTGCTAGGTCATAATGGATTGAATGTGACTTTTTAAAAAATTATATTTTAATACCAAAGTGCCTTGTTGTCTTGAGAGGATATAGTCAATGGCTCGTTCTTATTGAAAACAATTAATGTAAATTTGTATGTGAGTTTTATTGTTGATTACATAGATTTGGCTGGTAGTGTTTCTAAAGTACAATTCAATTGATTGATTAAATTCAATCCATTACTTGTTTTGAGATTCTTTTCTATTTAGGATTAATTTGTATCATTAAAATATTAAGATTAAAGCATTTGTTTAAAAAGGTTGTCAGTATTTCAAAATAATATAAAATTAATACTAGCAAATTACTTATTGCTTTGTTTACTAAACCAGATAATATACACTTTGATCCAAATGTAATATGCCATAGGGGAATAGAAAAACAGACACATCAATTTCAGTAAAAACTTTACCACTAATCAACTTATAAGTTATTAAATTATGTTTTGCTTTTTTTATTTTAAATTAAGTTTGTCATTACTAACATGTTGCAAAAATAGTGCAGAGAGTTCGTGTATATCCCTCAGTCAACTTTTCCTAATGTAAACATCATATATACAATTACGAAAGCCAGCAAATTAATATTGGTACAATATTATCAACTACACTGCAGATTTATTCAAATTTTATGGGTTTTTTAACTATTTTTTATTACTACGTTTTTCCACGTGTTCTTTTCTGCTCAAGAATCATGTCTTAGATACCATATAACATCTAGTTGTTACTTTTTTTTGCACTCCTCCAATGTGTGATTTTGCTCTTTCCTTTTCTTTCACGACTTTGATACTTTTGAAGAGTATTCATCAGTTATTTTCTACAGTGTCTCTCAATTTGAGTTTTTCAAATGTTTTCTCATAATTAAAATCAGGCTATGAATATTTGTGGCCAAAAAAAATCCCATAGAAATGTTCTGAGGTCTTTTTTGATGTCTATAGATTATGCTTATTAAAAGGACAGTCTCTGGAGTCATATTGTCTTCACTCAAATATCAGCTCTGACACTTATAAGCTGTGCAAACCTGGAAAATTTACCCTAAGTAAAATCCATCATTTTAAAAAAATGGCCATCATAGT
The DNA here is from genome assembly GCF_000001405.40 of Homo sapiens. NCBI lineage: Eukaryota > Metazoa > Chordata > Mammalia > Primates > Hominidae > Homo > Homo sapiens. Next base: position 110,003,109 of record NC_000003.12, on the reverse strand, counting down.
ATTCATTTCAACATGTTTTTGTAAGGATTAAATGGGATAATGTACTTAAAGTTCTTAGCTTTGTCATATCACACAGTAAGTGTTAAGACAAAAAGTTAAGTATCAATGATAATCCATAGTAATAATTGTGGCAGGCAAAATCTACTAATATATGCTAAAATTCCTGGGATAAACTGAGAAGAAACAAAATATTTGTGTAGTCTCAAAGGATCCTCCCCAGAAAATTGTGTTTGTTACAAATAGAAAGACAACCATTCAGTGAAATAACCTGGCAGATACCAAATTAACCTGGCAATCAATGTGTCTGTGAAACTTTTTGAGTACTATTTATTTCATTGTGAAAACACAGTAAATTGAAATAAAGGTTTCTTATATACCTTCTGTTATTTTGTTCTACTTTGCTTTTATTCTTGTATTGTTAAAATAGGTCTTCTCTCTAAAAGAAAATGGCATTAAAAGAAGGACACATTTTAACACTTCCTTGAGGTGGAGACAATACCTTATTATTCTACTGCTGTGCTTAACACCATAGGCAGTGTTTTCTGGAAAGAAATATAAACTGATTTTTTCAAGGAAATCAACTTTTAAGAAAACAAATCCAGGGGGGCATTCCTAGATGGCCAAATAGGAATAGCTCTGGTCTGCAGCTCCCAGCATGATCGACGCAGAAGATGGGTGATTTCTGCATTTCCAACTGAGGTACCTGGTTCTTCTCAATGGGACTGGCTGGACAGTGGATGCAGCCCACAGAGGGTGATCCAAAGCACGGCAGGGCATCGCCTCACCCGGGAAGCGCAAGGGGTCGGGGGATTTCCCTTTCCTAGCCAAGGGAAGCTGTGACAGACTACCTGGAAAAACAGGGCACTCATGCCCTAATACTGTGCTTTTCCCAAGGTCTTAGCAACTGGCAGACAAGGTGATTCTCTCCTGTGCCTGGCTCAGGGGACTCCACACCCATGGAGCCTTGCTCACTGCTAGCACAGCAGTCTAAGATCGATCTGCGAGGTGGCAGCCTGGCTTGGGGAGGGGCATCCGCCATTGCTGAGGCTTGAGTAGGTCAAAAAAGTAGCCGGAAACTCAAACTAGGTGGAGCCCACCACAGCTCAACAAGGCCTACTGCCTCTAGACTCCACCTCTGTGGGCAGGGCATAGCTGAACAAAAGGCAGCAGACAACTTCTGCAGACTTAAAAGACCCTGTCTAACAGATCTGAAGAGGGCAGTAGTTCTCCCAGCACAGCGTTTGAGCTCTGAGAACAGACAGACTGCCTCCTCAAGTGGGTCCCTGGCCCCCATGTAGCCTAAGTGGGAGACATCTCCCAGTAGGGGCCAACAGACACCTCATATAGGCAGCTGCCCCTCTGGGATGAAGCTTCCAGAGGAAGGATCAGGCAGCAATATTTGCTGTTCTGGAGCCTCCGCTGGTGATACCCAGGAAAATAGGGTCTGCAGTGGAACTCCAGCAAACTCCAACAGACCTACAGCTGAGGGACCTTACCATTAGAAGGAAAACTAACAAACAGAAAGGAGTAGCATCAACATCAACAAAAAACCCCATCTGTAGGTTACCAACATCAAAGACCAAAGGTAGATAAAACCACAAAGATGGGGAGAAACTAGAGCAGAAAAGCTGAAAATTCTAAAAATCAGAGCACCTCTCCTCCTCCAAAGGATAGCAGCTCCTCGCCAGCAATGGAACAAAGCTGGATGGAGAATGAGTTTGACGAGTTGACAGAAGTAGGCTTCAGAAGGTCGGTAATAACAAACTTCACCAAGCTAAAGGAGGATGTTCGAACCCATCACAAGGAAGCTAAAAACCTTGAAAAAAGAATAGACCAATGGCTAAGTAGAATAAACAGTATAGAGAAGACCTTAAATGACCTGACGGAGCTGAAAACCACGGCACAAGAACGAGAACTTTGTGACGCACGCACAGGCTTCAATAGCCAATTCAATCAAGTGGAAGAAAGGATAACAGTGATTGAAAACCAAATTAATGAAATAAAGTGAGAAGACAAAGTTAGAGAAAAAAGTAAAAAGAAACGAACAAAGCCTCCAAGAAATATGGAACTATGTGAAAAGACCAAATCTAAGTTTGATTGGTGTACCTGAGAGTGATGGGAAGAATTGAACCAAGTTGGAAAATACTCTTCAAGATATTATGCAGGAGAATTTCCCCAACCTAGCAAGGCAGGCCAACATTCGAATTCGGGAAATACAGAGACCACAAAGATACTCCTTGAGAAGAGCAACCACAAGACACATAATTATCAGATTCACCAATGTTGACATGAAGGAAAAAGTGTTAAGGGCAGCCAGAGAGAAGGTCGAGTTACCCACAAAGGGACTAACAGCGGATCTCTTGGCAGAAACCCTACAAGCCCGAAGAGAGTGGGGGCCAACATTCAACATTCTTAAAGAAAATAATTTTCAACCCAGAGTTTCATATCCAGCCAAACTAAGCTTCATAAGTAAAGGAGAAATAAAATCCTTTACAGACAAGGAAATGCTGAGAGATTTCATCACCACCAGCCCTGCCTTACAAGAGCTCTTGAAGGAAGCACTAAACATGGAAAGAAACAACCAGTACCAGCCACTGCAAAAGCATGCCAAATTGTAAAGACCATCGATGCTATGAAAAAACTGCATCAATTAACAGGCAAAATAACCAGCTAACATCATAATGACAGGATCAAATTCACACATAAAAATATTAACCTTAAATGTAAATGGGCTAAATGCCCCAAATAAAAGACAGACTGGCAAATTGGAAAAAGAGTCAAGACTCATGGGTGTGCTGTATTCAGGAGACCCATCTCACGTGCAGAGACACACATAGGCTCAAAATAAAGGGTTAAAAGAAGATCTACCAGCAAATGGAAAGCAAAAAAAAAAGCAGGGGTTGCAATCCTAGTCTCTGATAAAACAGACTTTAAACCAACAAAGATCAAAAGAGACAAAGAAGGCCATTACATAATGTAAAGGGATCAAGTCAACAAGAAGAGCTAACTATCCTAAATACATATGCATCCAAAACAGGAGCACCCAGATTCATAAAGCAAGTTCTGAGAGACCTAAGAAAGAGACTTAGACTCCCACACAATAATAATGGGAGAGTTTAACACCACACTGTCAATATTAGACAGATCAGCAAGACAGAAGGTTAACAAGAATATCCAGGACCTGAACTCAGCTCTCCCACAAGCAGACCTAATAGACACCTACACAACTCTCCACCCCATATCAACAGAATATACATTCTTCTCAGCACCACATCACATTTATTCAAAATTGACGACATAATTGGAAGTAAAGCACTCCTCAGCAAATGTAAAAGAACAGAAATCACAACAAACTGTCTCTCAGACCACAGTGCAATCAAATTAGAACCTAGGATTAAGAAACTCACTCAAAACCACACAACTACATGGAAACTGAACAACTTGCTCCTGAATGACTACTGGGTAAACAACAAAATAAAGATGTTCTTTGAAACCAATGAGAACAAAGACACAACATACGAGAATCTCTGGGACACATTTTAAAGCAGTGTGTAGAGGGAAATTTATAGCACTAAATGACCACAAGAGAAAGCAGAAAAGAGCTAAAATCAACACACTAACATCACAATTAAAAGAACTAGAGAAGCAAGAGCAAACAAATTCAAAAGCTAGCAGAAGGCAAGAAATAACTAAGATCAGAGCAGAACTGAAAGAGATAGAGACACGAAAAACCCTCCAACCAATCCATGAATTCAGGAGCTGGTTTTTTGAAAAGATCAACAAAACTGATAGACTGCTAGCAAGACTAATAAAGAAGAAAAGAGAGACGAATCAAATAGATGCAGTAAAAAATGATAACGGAGATATCACCACTGATCCCACAGAAATACAAACTACCATCAAAGAATACTATAAACACCTCTATACAAATAAACTAGAAAATCTAGAAGAAATGGACAAATTCCTGGACACATACACCCTCCCAAAACTAAACCAGGAAGTAGTTGAATCTCTGAATAGACCAATAACAGGCTCTGAAATTCAGGCCATAATTCATAGCCTACCAACCAAAAAAAGTAAAGGACCAGAAGGATTCCCAGCTGAATTCTACCAGAGGTACTAAAAGAAGTTGGTAGCATTCTTTCTGAAACTATTCCAATCAATAGAAAAAGAGGGAATCCTCCCTAACTCATTTTATGAGGCCAGCATCATCCTGATACCAAAGCCTGGCAGAGACACAACAAAAAAAGAGAATTTTAGACAAATATTCCTGAAGAATATCAATGCAGAAACCCTCAATAAAATACTGGCAAACTGAATCCAGCAGCACATCAAAAAGCTTATCCACCATGATCAAGTGGGCTTCATCCCTGGGATGCAAGGCTGGTTCAACATATGCAAATCAACAAAAGTAATCCATCACATAAACAGAACCAACGACAAAAACCCATGATTATTTCAATAGATGTAGAAAAGTCCTTCGACAAAATTCAAAAGCCCTTCATGCTAAAAACTCTCAATAAACTAGGTATTGATGGAACATATCTCAAAATAATAAGAGCTATTTATGACAAACATTCAACCAATATCATACTGAATGGGCAAAAACTGGAAGCATTCCCTTTGAAAACCAGCACAAGACAAGGATGCCCTCTCTCACCACTCCTATTCAACATAGTGTTGGAAATTCTGGCCAGGGCAGTCAGGCAAGAGAAAGAAATAAAGGGTATTCAATTAGGAAAAGAGGAAGTCAAATTGTCCCTGTTTGCAGATGACATGATTGTATATTTAGAAAACCCCATCATCTCAGCCCAAAATCTTCTTAAGCTGATTAGCAACTTCAACAAAGTCTCAGGATACAAAATCAGTATGCAAAAATCACAAGCATTCCTATACACCATTAACAGACAAACAGAGCCAAATCATGAGTGAACTCCCATTCACAATTGCTACAAAGAGAATAAAATACCCAGGAATACAACTTACAAGGGATGTAAAGGACCTCTTCAAGGAGAATTACAAAGCACTGCTCAACAAAGTAAAAGAGGGCACAAACAAATGGAAGAATATTCCATGCTCATGGATAGGAAGAATCAATATAGTGAAAATGGCCACACTGCCCAAAGTAATTTATAGATTCAATACGATCCCCATCAAGCTACCAATGACTTTCTTCACAGAATTGGAAAAATCTACTTCAAAGTTCATAGGGAACCAAAAAAGAGCCCGCATTGCCAAGAAAATCCTGAGCAAAAAAGTAACCAAAACAGCATGGTACTGGTACCAAAACAGAGATATAGAAAAATGGAACAGAACAGAGGCCTCAGAAATAATGCCACACATCTACAAACATCTGATCTTTGACAAACCTGACAAATACAAGCAATGGGGAAAGGATTCCCTATTTAATAAATGGTGCTGGGAAAACTGGCTAGCCATATGTAGAAAGCTGAAACTGGATCCCTTCCTTACACCTTATACAAAAATTAATGCAAGATGCATTAAAGACTTACATGTTAGGCCTAAAACCATAAAAACCCTAGAAGAAAACCTAGGCAATACCATGCAGGAAATAGGCATGGGTAAGGACTTCATGACTAAAACACCAAAAGCAATGGCAACAAAAGCCAAAATAGACAAATGGGATCTAATTAAACTAAAGAGCTTCTGCAGGGCAAAAGAAACTACCATCAGAGTGAACAGGCAACCTACAGAATGGGAGAAAATTTTTACAATTTACCCATCTGACAAAGGGCTAATATCGAGAATCTACAAAGAACTCAAACAAAATTTACAAGAAAAAAACAACCCCATCAAAAAGTGGGCAAAGGATATGAACAGACGCTTCTCAAAAGAAGACATCTATGCAGCCAATAGACACATGAAAAAATGCTCATCATCACTGGTCATCAGAGAAACGCAAATCTAAACCACAATGAGATAGCATCTCATGCTAGTTAGAATGACAATCATTAAAAAGTCAGGAAACAACAGATGCTGGAGAGGATGTGGAGAAATAGGAATGCTTTTACACTGTTGGAGGGAGTGTAAATTAGTTTAACCCTTGTGGAAGATGGTGTGGTGATTCCGTAAGGATCTAGAACTATAATTACCATTTGACCCAGTGATCCCATTACTGGGTATATACCCAAAGGATTGCAAATCATGCTACTATAAAGACACATGCACACATATGTTTATTGCGGCACTATTCACAATAGCAAAGACTTGGGACCAACCCACATGTCCATCAGTGATAGACTGGATTAAGGAAATGTGGCACATATACACTATGAAATACTATGCAGCCATAAAAAAGGATGAGTTCATGTCCTTTGCAAGGACATGGATGAAGCTGGAAACCATCATTCTGAGCAAACTATCATAAGGACAGAAAACCAAACACTGCATGTTCTCACTCATAGGTGGGAATTGAGATCACTTGGACACAAGGTGGGGAACATCACACACTGGGGCCTGTCGGGGGCTGGGGGGCTGGGGGAGGGATAGCATTAGGAGAAATACCTAATGTAAATGATGAGTTGATGGGTGCAGCAAACCAACATGGTATAGATATTCCTATGTATCAAACTTGCACATTGTGCACATGTACCCTAGATATTAAAATATAATAAAAAAAGAAAAGAAAATAAATCCAGAGATTTTAGGAGTCATGCCATAAAATAAAGTTAGCTAATTTCATCTAAACCATAGCTTGATTATGTATCTCTCCTCTTTCAACAGACTACTATAATGATAGGCTTCTTCTGAAAATTTGCTGTGTACAACTATTTTCATTTTTATATGGATTTCTTGGCTACTGTCAATTTGGTTTTAAATCACTTAATTCAGCGTATTTGAAATGATTATTTACTATTTATCTCATCAAATAACTAAAAATCAAAACAATTGAACTCATGGACATAGACAGTAGAAGAATAGTTACCAGAGGCTGGGAAGGGTAATAAGGGGATGTGGAGGAGGTAGGGATCGTTAATGGCTACAAAAAAAAAAAAAAAAAAAAAAAAAGAATGAATAAGACCTACTATTCAATAGCACAGTAGGGTGACTATAGTCAATAATAACCTAATTATACATTTTAGAAAAAACTAAGAGTGTAATTGGATTGTTAGTAACTCAAAGGATAAATGCTTGAGGGGATGGATACCATTCTCCATGATGTGCTTATTTCACATTCCATGCCTGTATTAAAACACCTCACGTAACCCATAAATGTATACACCTACTAAGTACCCACAAAAATTTTTTAAAAAATAAAAATTAGAAGTCTTTTAGAGACAGACATCGATATTCTTAGTGTTTCATTAGTCAAGAGTTGTCAATATCTAACAATAATTGAACACACAATAGTTTTTAAAAGTTACTAATAATGCCTATAATTATTTTTGGAATATCTGAAAGTTGTAGTAGAAATCCAAGAATCCCCAAACATCTGTGTTTTAATTTAAGAGGATAAATATTGTATTTTGAGTGAAGGAGAGTTCCAAACACCTGCAAAAGATTCTGGGAAACTGTGAGCTATTTCTGAAGCTATTTCTGAGCTATGTGTTCTTGCCATTCTCATAGCATTCTTTCCTTTCTCTCTTCTTTCTAGTTGTATTTAAAGCAATATTACAAAATAATTATAGTGCAAAAAGTTCAATTGTAGAGCTAAGCAGAAAACACTGTAAGAACATTTTTAAAACAAACTGTTATATATGAAACCTTTAACTGACTGCCACTGCTGGAATATTAAGGGGACAGAAGCTGTAACAGGGATTAGGGAATCTTTTTCATGGAATTCTTTGTTGAAACTCATAGAATAATGCTAACTCTTCTGGGTGTGGCAAATTTTCAGCATCCATATACAGGACTGATTACAGCAAAAAAATCTTACAGCCAATCTTTACCTATGCTGCATGTGTGTTATCGAGAGGTTGCAAGGTGATCTGATTATGTAACCAGATTTAAAAACTACATTTATCTTGGCTTTACTACAAAAGTCAGTTGTGGCCAGGTGTGATGACTCACGCCTATAATCCCAACACTTTGGGAGGCCGAGTGGGGGTGGATCACTTGATGCCAGGAGTTCAAGACCAGCTGGCCAACATGATGAAACCCCGTCTCTACTAAAAGTACCAAAAATTAGCTGAGCGTATTGGCGTGTGCCTGTAATCCCAGCTACTTGGGAAGCTGAAGCAGGAGAATCGCTTGAACCTGGAGGCGGGAGGGTGCAGTAAGCCAAGATCGTGTCACTGCACTCCAGCCTGTGTGACAGAGCAAGACTGTCTCAAAAAAAAAAAAAAGGGAATTGTCTGTTTATTAATAGTATTGATAGTTTTATATTTTAATGCTCACTATGTGACATGACAAAACTGGAGCCGGGCGCGGTGACTCACACCTGTAATCCCAGCACTTTGGGAGGCTGAGACGGCCAGATCACGAGGTCAGGAGATCAAGACCATCCTGGCTAACATGGTGAAACCCAGTCTCTACTAAAAATACAAAAAATTAGCCAGGTGTGGTGGCAGGCGCCTGTAGTCCCAGCTACTTGGGAGGCTGAGGCAGGAGAATCGCTTGAACCTGGGAGGCAGAGGTTGCAGTGAGCCTAGATCACACCACTGCACTGCAGCCTGGGCGACAGAGGAAGACTCCATCTTAAAAAAAACAAAAACTGATACACTTAAGTATATTATTTCACATGATTCTCACAACACACATTGAATTGAATATCATTATTGTAGCCATATTTTTAAATGAAGTATTTTACCTAGAGGGGCAGAGTAAATTTCCCAAAGTTGTGCAACTCACATGGGAAATTTACTCTGCTTCCGGAAAGTGTAACTGGGAAACTGCAACTGTGAGTGTCAGAGCTGATACTTGAGTGGAGACAGTCGGACTCCAAAGACTGTCCTTTTACCAATCATAACCTATAGACACTTTTTATTCACCAAGAAGACAAGTGTACTTATGATAAGTCCAATCATTAGTACCCAATCTCATGTTTCTGAGTAAACCAGATTCATAATGTCTTATTTTGGGACACAAAAATCAAGCATTTTTGTAGAGTTCTTCAGGCAAAAATGATAAGAAGCAACGTGATAAATGCAGGAAATAATTTGTAAGAAATAAAGAGGAGAAATAAATTTGTATTAGGGAATTCAAGAGTCAAAACCTCTCTTTAGTGTTTTTGACCAACTTTCTGTTATTTAAACTGTCAAAAAACAGGCTGGTCAGGATTTGGTCTCTGCAATCTTAGGAAGAGATCAGAGAAAATCATTAACTTTCATGATAATAAATGGAGGAACATTCAATTTTAGCACTTGTATATGATTTGCACCTAAAAGCATGAATTTCCACTGTGTTTCTTAGTCATACACTTAAGTATTATCTTGACATTTTCTCTTGCCCAGAACTCAGGGATATAAATTAACACACGCTCAGTATTAATTTGTTACCATTGCCTAGCTCAAAGTTGAGTGCAGGGCTTCCTATTTCTTCTCATTTGGGGATGTGTTTCCATTATTTGCATACATCACCTGTATTAGTGAGAAAGGCATAGCTTTGACTTTTCCAAAGTAGATGAACAGCTGCTTTGAAAAGATAATTTAAGATTCATGACACATTTAAACCCCAGGCTTTTTACTTGGTCCTGAAAGTTGAAAGGGCTTTACATTTGCAAAAACTATTTTTCTAGGAATCCATTGAAATTATCCAATATTCTGTGCCCTTACATCAAATATAGAGGCAGCAATATTAAAACTTTATTTTAAAAAACCTGGTCGGGAGCTATGGCTCACACCTATAATCCCAGCACCTTGGGAGGCCAAGGGGGGCAGATCACTTGAGCCCAGGAGTTCAGGACTAGCCTGGGCAACATGGCAAAACCCTGTCTCCACTAGAAATGCAAAAATTAGCCGCGCATGTTGGCACAGGCCTGTAATCCCAGATACTTGGGAGGCTGAGGCATGAAAATCACTTGAACCCGGGAGGCGGAGGTTGCAGTGAGCTGAGATCACAGCACTGCACTCCAGACTGGGCAACAGGGAGAGACTTTCTCTCAAAAATAATAGTAACAAAACTTTCCTTTAAAAAAGTTAAAGGAGCCGGGGCAGTGGCTCACACATGTAATGCCAGCACTTAAAAAAAAAATACATAAATTAGCTGCTCATAGTAGTGCTCGCCTGTAGTCTCAGCTACTCAGGAGGTTGAGGTGGAAGGGATTCTTGAGCCCAGGAGGGTGCGAATGCAGTGAGCCGTGATGATGCCACTGCACTCCAGTCTGAGTGATAGAGTGAGACCCTGTCTCAAAAAAGAAAGAAAAAAAAAAACTTGAGGAAATAAATTGATTTAAAACACAATAAGTAATGGTTGTCATAGTTACAAATGATTACTATACTTCTTGTAGCTCATGTTAAATCTAAAATCTAAATCAGTAGAACATTGCTGTAATGTCCTATCGTATGGCTACATTAAGCCTACAGGTTTCCCTCACATTTGTGTCTAAGTCATTACACATTTATTTATTACCTACTCCATAATTTTGCCATGCTGTAATAAAAAAGATAAGTGACATAAAGTACCTGCCAGCACAAACCTTACAATCTGGTAATGGTGATAAATAATACGATAGGTTCACAAACTACAAAGCAAATAGGCAAGTGGCTTATGATGAATACAAATCAAGAACAATCTAGATATGAAGAAAGAAAAAGAGAGAGATTGGCAGAGACAGAGAGAGAAAAAATAAAATTGGAGGAGCAATAAGAAGCTTCCTGAATGAAGGGGTGCGTATGATAGATTTTAAGGGGTTTTGGCAAGTAAGAAAGAAAGGAAAGCACTCATTCTAGAGAGCAGGAAGGGAAGGAACAAAAGTGAGGAAGTACAGAACATTCAGGTCCTTTGCAGCGTGGAGCACATAGAAGCTGTATATGATAAAGTAATAAAGATATTAGTAAGAATTTATAGGACTTGATAGCTGACAGTGTAGAAGGAAAAATTAGATAATTTATGGTTTCAACTGAACATACTGGTCACATTATTTAATGAAGGAAGTAAGAGAGGATAATGCACTGATTTTAGGAGCAGAAAAATAATATATGCTTTTATTAAAATGTTGGGGTAAAAGTACCCACTAGAACATTCAGGCTTTTGAATTATCATTTGGACCTTAAAAAAGAGCAGAGCAAAGTACAAAAATTGGAGTTAAAATGTTTGATTTTAAATCCTGGATCTCCTCCTAAGCTTTATGACCTTAGGTTTGCCACACACTCTGAGCACCATTTTATTCACTATTTTTTTTATTTTTTTATTTTCATAGGTTATTGGGGAACAGGTGGTGTTTGGTTACATAAGTAAGTTCTTCAGTGGTGACTTGTGAGATTTTGGCACACCCATCACCTGAGCAGTATACACTGACACTACATGTAGTCTTTTATCCCTCATCGCCTCCCCTCTCTTTCCCCCAAGTCCCCAAAATCCATTGTGTCATTCTTGTGCATTTGCATCCTCATAGCTTAGCTCTCACTTATGAATGAGAATACACAATGTTTGGTTTTCCATTTCTGAGTTACTTCACTTAGAATAATAGTCTCCAATCTCATCCAGGTCACTGAGAATGCCATTAATTCATTTCTTTATATAGCGGAGTAGTATTCCATCATATATATATACCACAGTTTCTTTATCCACTTGTTGATTAATGGGCTTTTGGGTTGGTTCCACGTTTTTGCAATTGTAAATTGTGCTGCTATAAACATGCAGGTACAAGTATCTTTTGTGTATAATGACTTATTTTCCTTTGGGTAGATACCCAGTAGTGGGACTGCTAGATCAAACAGTAGTTCTACTTTTCATTCTTAAAGGAATCTGCATGCTGTTTTCCATAGTAGTTGTACTAGTTTACCTTCCCATCAGCAGTGTAGAAGTGTTCCCTGTTCACGGCATCCACATCAACGTCTACTATTTTTTTTTTTATTATGGACATTCTTGCAAGAGTAAGGTGGTATCGCACTATGGCTTTGATCTGCATTTCCCTGATCATTAGTGATGTTGAGCGTTTTTTGATATGTTTGTTGGCGATTTGTATGTCTTGATAATTGTCTATTCATGTCCTTAGCCCACTTTTTGATGGGATTGTTTGTTTGTTTGTTTTGTTTATTCATTTGAGTTTGTTGTAGATCCTGGATACGTTAAGAATAGGTATCTTTTCTGTAGGGGTTGTTCTTGTGGTTAAAAAAAACACTAGTGAAAGATTTCACAGTTCATAAAACTCAACAAATCCAAGGTGTCCTTGCTGATATCTTCATAAAAGTATCACTTGAAGTAATTACTAAAGGAGAAAGACTAGAAGAGACCTGAAGAGGGGTTAAAAGAATTACTATGGCTGCATAGTATTCCATGGTGTATATGTGCCACATTTTCTTAATCCAGTCTATCATTGTTGGACATTATGGATGAAATTGGAAATCATCATTCTCAGTAAACTATCGCAAGAACAAAAAACCAAACACCGCATATTCTCACTCATAGGTGGGAACTGAACAATGAGATCACATGGACACAGGAAGGGGAATATCACACTCTGGGGACTGTGGTGGGGTGGGGGGAGGGGGGAGGGGTAGCATTGAGAGATATACCTAATGCTAGATGACGAGTTAGTGGTGCAGCGCACCAGCATGGCACATGTATACATATGTAACTAACCTGCACAATGTGCACATGTACCCTAAAACTTAAAGTATAATTAAAAAAAAAGAATTACTATGTTTGATAAATATAATAGAAAAAGAAAATTGTGACCATGATATGAAATTTTTTTGTTGGTACATGATTTAACAATTTTATTAAACATAGGGATACTATAAAATATATTGCTTGACTTTCTTGTTTATGAACTTTTCTAAAAGGGTAACATATTTCATGCAGTCTTCTAAGACTTATGTTATTCACCACACATTATGATTATAAGATTCATCTATGATGTAATATTTATAGATTATTTTTATTACTGTATGATATTCTATTTTATGAAAATTCCACAATATATTTATCTTCCTACTGTTTATAGATGTTTTTGTTGTTTCCGGTTTTTTGCTATTATAAACATGAACAATGCCACAGTGGACTTTTTTTTTGTTATGCCTTCCAGTGCAAGAATTTCTCTCGGGCATATATCTAAGAATATTATGTATCTGGGAATGTTCTACTTTATAAAACAACACCAAATCATTTTCGAAGGTGGTTGCATTATTTTCCACTATTACAAGCAATGTGTAAAAGATCCATTTCCTATCCAAAACTTATTTTTATCAGAATACTTATTAAATTTATTGGTGAGTAGTGGAGATGGTGTCTCATTGTGTTCTTTAATGGCATTTTATCAATTACTAGTGATGTTGGCTTATTTTTTGTAAGTTTATTAGTTATATATACATATATCTTTTGTTATAAGCCTATTCATACTTTTGTACATTTTTATTGTTAATTTTCAATGTCATTTTAATTTATGGGCTCTTTGTATATATACTCGATTATAGTTTTTTGCTGGCTGTAAGAATTGCAGATAATTTCTCACATTCTCTATACTCTCTTTAAAGTGCTTATGAGAAAAAAAGTCCTTAATTTTTACGTCATCTGATTTTTAAAACTTTTAAGTTGTGCTTTTGACATCTTTTACAAAATATTCTTCTCTGACTCAATGTCAGAAAGACATGTATTATATTTTCTTCTAAAATAGCTTTTGCTTTTGAAAGTTCTTATGTTTACTTTTCAAAGTTCTTAAGTTTTCTCTTTAAAGTTCTTAATCCATAGAAAGCTGATTTTTGTATATCACGTGAGGTAGAATCTCTTTCTCGTTTTAAAAATAATAACTTTAGGCTGGGCGTGGTAGCTCACACCTGTAATCCCAGCACTTTGAAAGGCCAAGGTAGGCAGATCACAAGGTCAGGAGACCGAGATCATCCTGGCTAACACGTGAAACCCCGTCTCTACTAAAAATACAAAAAATTAGCTGAGCGTGGTGGCACGCACCTGTAATCCCAGCTACTCAGGAGGCTGAGGCAGGAGAATAGCTTGAACCCAGGAGGCAGAGGTTGCAGTGAGCTGAGATTGCATCACTGCGCTCCAGGCTGGGCGACAGAGCAAGACTCCATCTCAAAATAAATAAATAAATAAATAAATAAATAAATAAATAAATAAATAAATAAATAAAATAATAACCTTAAATATTTTTTCTTTTTTCAGTGATTTGTCTAGCTGCCTTAGTTACATGTCAACATTCTATTTAACTATGGGTATTTTCTTGCCTTTCCATTGTGTTCCTGTAATTGATTTTGTCCTCTCCCTACAAAAATATCATATTGTCTTAGATAAAATGTGATACGTAGGGAAATTTTTCCCACCTTATTTTATTAATTAGCACATATGACCCTATTTTGCACCAGGTATTATTCTAAGCCCTTTTCAAATGTTGATGCATTTAATGCTATAAACAATCTTATAAAGTAGGTACTTTTATTTTTCTAGTTTTACGGAAGAGGAAACTGTGTCATAGAGAGGTTAAGTAACATTTCCATAGTTACACAGTAAGTCATGTAGATAGGACTGTAAACCATTCAGTCTGGCTCTAGTGTCCAACATTGTCATTACTATGCTATACTGTGTCTTTGTCTCCAAAGGTGTTTTGTCTATGTTTTGTCTTTTGCTTTCATATAAATTTATAATTTGTATGAATTATAAATGCTTATATTTATAATTTATAATCATCTTATCAAGTGCTAAGAACAATCTTTTCATGATTCTTTTTTTTTTTTTTTTTTTGAGACAGAGTCTCGCTCTGTCACCCAGGCTGGAGTGCAGTGGCGCGATCTCCGCTCACTACAAGCTCTGCCTCCCGGGTTCACGGCATTCTCCCGCCTCAGCCTCCCGAGTAGCTGGGACTACAGGCGCCCGCCACCGCTCCCGGCTAATTTTTTGTATTTTTAGTAGAGAAGGGGTTTCACCGTGCTAGCCAGGATGGTCTCGATCTCCTGACCTCGTGATCCACCCACCTCGGCCTCCCAAAGTGCTGGGATTACAGGCGTGAGCCACTGCGCCCGGCCTCATGATTCTTACTCAAGTTCCATTACATATATACAATGATTCAGGAATAATAAACACTTCAGTATTTCTGCGGCAAAAATATTCCTAGATATATTACTGGGATAAATGGGATAAGTAAAGACCTTGTATTGCTTCTTATTATTTGAGATCCAGTTTTGCTGCCAAATGAGTTTTTGTGCCAAACTGATGAAAAATCTTTCTATTTAGATTCTTTAGACTTTTTGGAATTGTGGAATGTATTATTACCATTTAATAAATGAGAAAACAATGCCTCAGGGGTTAAATAAGCAAACTTAATCTGCATTCTTAGTTGATGATAGACTGCCTGTAATTTGCTTTAGGTTTTCTTAAGAAATGTCTTCGTATGGATTTTTAAGCTTCAAAACAAGAATATAGGATTTTTATTTGGATCTTGATCTATGATGATTCCAGGTGTTCGCCTAATTTACCTTGCTCACTAACCTTTGTCTAATTGATAATCTGTTCTTTTTTATTCATCCATATCCAAGCCTAATCTGCCCGTTAGTCTCTTTCAAAATAACACAGTTGATTAGAAATTAATGAAAATGTGTGTAAGCCTGTGGCCATTCACCAGTTTTATCTAACCTGTATTTCAAATTCTGGATTTTGTAATTTAAAGACTTGTTTAAGATATAGCTTGCCTTTAATCTGTCTTTTTAAGTAAGTGATTTTTTTCATTTTGAAATTCCTTTTAATCCTATTCTCTCATTTCCTCACTTTTAATTGATTACAGTGTCAAATAATTAAAATATTGTTTCCTTTTTAAAATAATAACTTATTTTTCCACTAAGGTGAGCTGATTCTGTACCCTCTTACGTGAGAAAATGAGTGTTACCCTTATTTATTGCCCTTGCACCCATTTGTATTTACAGCTTCACTTAGACCTCAATGAGGAATT
This sequence comes from Homo sapiens, assembly GCF_000001405.40. Lineage (NCBI taxonomy): Eukaryota > Metazoa > Chordata > Mammalia > Primates > Hominidae > Homo > Homo sapiens. Next base: position 109,987,088 of record NC_000003.12, on the reverse strand, counting down.
CAGTGCCTATATTTCAAATACCTATATTTAAGGTAATGTTCACTTGTCTGGTGACTGGTATACAGTAGGTACTCAGTAAATCCTTGATAAGTGCATTTATAAATGAACAAGATAGAATCGCCTCTTAAAATTTTGATGTCAACTTCCAAATTGAAGTTGAATTTTATAACAGCACAGGATTACCTGTTAAAGATCTCAGGAAAAAGTAACAAACTAAAACACTTGTTCTCCTGCCACAGACTGAAGTATAAGTACTGAGTTTCTCATTTAGGTGTAAGTGAAGCTCTAAGTACAAATGGCTGCAAAGGCAAAAATATTATGAACTCTCCATAATACAGTTGATTTGAATTGAGTATCTTAAAGTGTTTAATTTTGAAGCCTCTCAGCATTCATCTATATGACATTCTATAACCTTTATTGTTAATGCTTGAATTCAATTATCACTCCACTATATGTTCTTGTTTATATTTTCTTGTATATTAACAATAAATTTATGTCCCTCAGACTCATACTCTCTGAAGGGTTATAAACTATTCAGCACATCTTAGATAAGCAGTTTCCAAACCACACTCTATTTGGGAAATGGATTCCAGGGCCCTATCTCTGACTTACTATAATTTCTATAAGGGGCCTGAGATTCTATACTCACTGTAAATTTCACTATCATGACAAGAGAAAATTGAGGAGAAAATGTTTTTTGAAGATTCATATTCACAGTACCAGTGGATACTTTTGCTGACAGAGCAGAATCTTTCTAGGAACACATGACACTCACTCCCCATCTGTTGTCTCCACATTGTTTAACCATCAGTGTCAGAATGAACAGAATTAACCATTCTCATCTCACTCCTTCATTTGTTATGAAATCACAAGCCTGTAGGTATCCACACAGAGGGAAGTTCCAGTCTCACGATGACATCATTACCTGCACATGGCTCCTAGTGACCCAGCTATGTAACAGGATGCTATGGGAGTCAGCCACAGGGCCTCTCTCTTCTCTCAAACTGAGCACATTGTCTGGCCTAGTAATGGCACAACTCATTGCAAAGCAGAGTAAATTGCATGCCTCTTTCACAATACCTTTTCCTTTTGTCTGATTTTTTTTATTAGAGCCCAGAACCATTCTTCCACCTTGGGAACACACTTTAAAAATTGGTAGAAGCCAAAGAGAAAATGATTAAAATGATAGGCATTTTCTTTATACCCTTTCTTTTTAGGCTAGATCTTTTTCTTAAAGCACCTATATCAGTTGTTGAAAGGAATATCTTTTTTATGCAATCGAACTGTGTATACTGCTTGACCATAATCTCAAAGATAATCTCTCAGTGAGTTAAAACAGATATTCAGATTATAGAATTGAGGTATTTAGAATTACTTGATCTATAGTAGTCAGATATGGGTTTATATCATTCATATGTTCAATCTATTGAATTCTAAGTACATTCTTAACAACAACATATCACGTTCAATTCCAGGCATTTTAAATTTATTATCAACATTAATAATCATAATAACTCTATACATGTGCATGGTGGAGTAGGCAAGGAAAATGGATATAATTACATCTGTTTTTTGATTGAGTACACTAAAGTTCAGGAAAGTCTAATGACTTACTTGAAGTCACTCTGATGGGAAGAAACTGATCATTTTAATCCTGATTTCCACACTCCGAGTCTATAACTTCCTCCTCCATTTTCTAATTTTCTTCTTATTGTGATGTTGACAATAAAGAATTACACATGAATTTGTCTTTACCTTTCTAAAATGCATAATTCTGGTGTTTTAGCAATTAAAGAAATGCATTTCCTTAGCTATTGGCTGTGTGCATTTTTCTGTGAACTCAGGTGTTAACATTTAGACTATTGTTAGTCTTTTCCCTATCCTTTGCTCCACATTGTGGCAAAGCCCCAAAGTTTGAGTCAGTAACTTAAAAATATGATGTCAGTGGCATGGAAAAAGGAATAAAAAGAAGTTGGACTGAACAAAATAAGTTTAGTCATTGCTTTAAAAACTCATCATTTTAAAAGCAGGAATTCTGGCTGCCTAATATAAAACTAAGTAAAAAATTAGATTTTAATTATAGACTTCTGCAAAGTTCACTTTTTGTGTTAAACCAATAGGAAGGAGCTTTTTATAGATACACATTTATTCACTTTCTTTAACATTCCAAACTGAATAATAACTTTCATGATGTTTTTGTTATTAAAAAAAAGTTCCCTTTTTAGCTCCTGCTGTAATAAATAAGGTAAAGCTTCAATTAAATTGAAAGTTATAGAAGAATCTAAACCTCCTGGGCTTAGGGCTCAAGGTATTTCACTTACTGTGAATAGTAAGCAGCAAAGTGACTCAAGGAATAAACAGAGAATGGGTAACTATAGAACCCAGAACAACAACGTTTCCATTTGTCTTGACCAAGTAATTGGTGTATAATAGTTTGGAAGTCTTCTGAAGAGGTATCACTCCAAGCTCTCCTACAAATCACTGTATGACCTTTTCAAAGACATGCTTTCTTCTGGGCCTTGGTTTTTTTGTTCATCTATAAAGTGAACATTCATCTAGATAAACTGAAAAGTTCCTTGTAGCATTACTATTTTAAGATTTCAAATATTTAATATCATGGAAGCTGGGTGGAAACATTCAAACTCAGATGTGAAGCCTTCTAGAAATTTATTTCTCCTACTGAGTAGGGTTGATGTTGCAGATAAGGGGATATTTGTCAGATTCTAGGCATAATCTCACCTTGATTAAATGTTTTTGGTGCTTCAAATCATGTTACTCATCCAGCTTAATTGTCTGATTTGAGGTTTCATTTTGTTCTTTCAGAAAGGTGTATCATGGTGCTGTTTCAAAGGTTGGTTTTCAAAACAACATAGAAATTTTCTTAGTTCATATACTCATTATTGAGCAAGAACATATTTTTGAAAGTTCAGTACCTAGTATAACACGATTAATCCATAAAAAATATTTGGTAAGATAGATAATACAAAACATGATTTTAGAGGCTGATGAGAACTATAATATATGGGTATCCATTTATTACTATAACCTGGTGATTATTCATGCTAGACATAGTATGATACCTTGATAAATATTGTTGCATACTGTTCTCATCCTCCTGAAAGTCAGTGATGCTTACAGCTTCCTTTGAGATTTCAACTGTTCGCAGTCTAAGAATAAGATGAGAAGGTTATGGAGTGGAGACTACAAGTAAAGAGAGTATCTTTGAAATTTCTTTCAATACTAAAGTCAGATTTTTTTTTGGATCACCATTCTTTTTGAAGTTATGTTCCTGCCATGGGTAATGGAAAGAATACAGTTCTAGATATTGCACTTTGGTTCTAATCTAGGATCTCTGCCAAATTGTATGTGTCACACATGTCATTTAGACACTCTAAAATTTAGTTTCCTCATCTGTAAATTGGGTGATTTTATCATTAGCTCAAAGGAATTTCTTTCCCAGATTTTTAAACCTAGGTTTCTGTGAACCTAAACAAAAAAATCTAATTTTATAGCTGATAATTACTATCCAGCAGCCAACTCTGACTTGCTTCCTCAATATTTACAAAAATATATTTATGAATAATATTTCAGATGGTAAAAAATACAGACATCACTATCAATAAGGCTTGCTTTTGGAAAGCAGAATTGAATGTACATTATTATATATTTATGATATGTGAAAGTAATTGTTATTAGATGATTTATATTCTTCATGTCTAAGAGTTGAACTCAAAGAGACAACAGAAACTAAATCGTGCTGATTACCTGTGTGTGATATAGGGGAATCTGATGCCTCATCTCTCTTGTTTACATAAATGCTAGAGCATTTTCCAGTATGTGATATGTATAATCATAAGTGCTATGTAAATGCACTGATATTATTTTGATAATCAAACAACAGTGTGTGTGCATGTATGCATATACACTATGCACATTGTTTCTGTGTGTGTTTGTGCACACACGTACCCAACACTTGTTCATGTGTGTCAGGAGGGATAAAGCAATGAGAAAAGAAATTAAGGAATGGAAGAAGTCTAAATTAGCATAGAATTCTAATTGTGTTAAAGGTGCTTATCTTTTAAAAGATAAGTTGTGTATTGGATAAAAGGCTCATATTTAATAATCTTCACTTGAATTTATATCTTTTTAGCAGTGGAAAATAATACATCGTGGTCCATATGTGAAAGGCAGTGCATAATGTGAAAATTTTATGCTGTGCTATAGAAAAAAGGGAAAAAATAAGTTATTGGGACAATGTAAGGGGTGACCAAATAATTGACTTATAGTCTAAAACAACTTACATATCAGAGTATGGGGCACATATTCAAAGGAAATCCACAAATCAGACTTGGTCTGACAAGGAAAACAAACATAAAATCTGTGATCGAATACAGAAGCCTGGGCTTTGCTAGAATAAAGAAGTGAGAATAAAGAAGCTCTTTAGTTATAGATGGAATTATAATAGATGTAAACTGCATCACTGCAACAAACATTATTGTTACAAATACAGGAATTAAAACACTTAAATGTAGTATAAAAGCAATATTTATAGTTCCCTTTCAAGGGCAGGCAGTTAGCCAAGTTAGAGAATATATTTACAACTTGTGAAATAGTCTGCCTAGAGAAAACAGTTCTGTTCTGATGCTGTGTTTTCCTGAATGCAGTTTCTCCAAGCAGCATCAGCATCACCTGGGAACTTCTTAGAAATGCAAATTCTTGGGCCTCACCCCAGACCAACTGAATCAGAAAATCTGGAGGAAGGCCCACCTTCCAGGTGGTTCTCAGGCATCCAAAAGTTTGAGAAGCATTAGCTTAGTAATATAGTAGAAAAATGGGCAGGAATTCTATTCTGTCATCATAAAGCCACTATAAATTGGATTTCGTGCTTACATTTCCATTTTCCTTTTTTTTTTTTTTTTTTTTCTGAGGTGTAGCCTCACTCCGTTGTCTAGGCTGGAGTGCTGTGGTGCAATCTCGGCTCACTGCAACCTCGCCTCCCGGGTTCAAGTGATTCTCATACCTCAGCCTCCTAAGTAGCTGCGACTACAGGAGCCCACCACCACGCCCGGCTAATTTTTGTATTTTATTTTTTAGTAGAGATGGGGTTTCACCATCTTGGCCATCTTGAACTCCTGACCTCAGGTTATCTGCCTGCCTCAGCCTCTCAAAGTGCTGGGATTACAGGCGTGAGCCACTGTGCCCAGCCCATGCTTACACATCTTAATAACACTTAACAGATTCTATTGAGATTGCTAGGCACAGATAATTTTTAGATTATTATTATTTATGATTGTATAAAATAACTGAGACTCCAGATGATTAAGAAGCTCTTTGTTGATAAATAATTATCAATAGTTCTGTGAAATGAAACACGTGCAGATGATCTCCTACCACATACCATGTATCTTGCCCTGTTTGTAGCCAAACACCCTGTTCCACAACTTTACTGTGTACATTTTATTAAGCTGGATGGAAATTAAAGAGGGGAGTGAAGTTGGGTCTCTCCAAATTTATTTCTTCTGCTACATAAAGTGAAATTTAAGCAATCTTAAGCTTCTTTCAAACTCTTTTTTGTGTGTCTAGCTACAATAACACTGAATAGAAACAATTAAACGAAAAACCTTGTGGGAGAACTTAGAAAAAGATAGACTCAATTTCTGTGTGACAGTCGAATTTCTCATAAAATTCTTATCAATCTATATTATCTTCACTATTCATGACTAATGTTAAGAAATATTATCATCATGGTCAGAGTTCAGAAACATATGGTATTTCTACTAGATAATGAGAAAATGAAAAATCCACAATGAACAATTTGTATGGTTCAAGGGTAGTATGATTTTTTAACCTTAAAGAACGAAAGTTAGTTGTTTATAAGAATAATTGTGGCAGATGAGAATATGGGGAGAAATGTGATAAGTCCGATAAGCTTTATTGAAGCAAAAGTTTATTTTTGGAGATTAACTTATACTTTGCATTTTAATGCACTTTAATATATCTTTGCATTTTTAGTTAGAGCTGGTTCATAATTATGGATGAAAGCATTCAGTCATTTACTAGGTCTATCTAAGGATAAGTATGTACTTCTATTTGACATTTAGGATCACCCCTCACATTGTTTTATGTATTTATGTATTTAACATCATGATTTCTGAAGGTCCATGGAAGTGTTTATTCCTGTTACTCATATTCCTGAACATCACCCACTAGACTTCACTTTTACTTGAGAAAATCCAGTCATATTGCTCCAACTAGAACTGGGCAGTGCTTATATAGACTTGATGAATTTGTAGGATTTATGAAAGTATACTTCAGGGATCCAGTGGTTCCGGAATTTAATTCTATAAAGTGAAATTAATAAGAAAGAATGGTGTTGCAGCCTACATTTTACTTTTCAATGTCTGTTTCAAAATTGAATTGTTAGTCTCTTAGAGAACTTCTACCTGTACCTAATGGAGTAACTTGCCCTCTCAGCATAAACAACTGTAAACTGAATAAAATATATAATACCACTGGTTTGATATATTTGGCAAAAGGCAGTGCATGGCTATTATCCCTGAGAAAAGGGAAATTCATTAGATGAGTCCAAAACTCACCCAGACTTTCTGTCTGAAGACATTTTCTGGTCTGAAGACAAGGATAGGAAATCTCAGTAGAGTATGGCAGCCTCCTAGTGACTACATCAACGTGTTCAGACTGCTGCGGCACTCTGTCAGTAACTAACTCTTAAGATATTCAGGAATAAATTTTTTTTAAAGTGTTGAATAGCTAGAGATTGAATTTCAGGAAAGCAAAAGTGGGTGAGATTTATAGGGCAGAGAACATCATAGAGAAAAATTCCAGAATTCTGAATAGGAGTCCCATCAAGGCTGTTGTTTAATATGCCAAGATTGTTCAGGAGGGACACACACCCACAAAAGCACCAAGCATAACAGAAAAAAATAATTGGACTTCATCAAAGTCAAAAACTCCTGTTCTTCCAAAACACCTTTAAGAAAATTACTCAGCACCATAGGAAAGATAAAAAGAAAATATATATAACATATTTTTTCTTACATACATAAAATATTACATATTTTATTTTATATAAATATAATAAAATATTATATACTGTCTATGTAATATATATTTTCTATATAATAAAATATACATTTTATATATAATACATTATAAAAATAATTATTTTATATTATATTATATTAAAATAATAATATAACATTATAATATTAATGATATTAATAATATAATTTTGATGATATTATTAAATAACAAAATAATTATTTTCTTATTTTATATATAATTAAATATATTAAATCAAAAACAAATATTACATATTTTATATAAAATAAAATAAAATATATAATAAATTTGTATATATTATATATTTTATTTTCTATATATAGTAGAAATCTTTAAGTATACTTATATGAAAATTAAAAAGAAATTCACAGACTGGGAGAAAATATTTGTAACACATATGCCTGATGAGGAATTGTATCTCAATAATAAAAAGGAATTCTTACAACTCAGCAAGAAGAAAAAAAACACAATAAAAAACAGAAAAACTATTTGGACAGACATCTCACAACAGAAAATATATAAATATCCAGTAAATATATAAACAAATGCTTACTATCAGGGAAATGCAAATTAAAACCATAAAGAGACACCAGTACACACTAACTAGAGTGATCACAATTAATAAAACCGACAATACCAAGCATTGATGATGATGTGGAGCATCTGAAACTTTCACTTGTCACTGGTGGAAATATTAAATGGTACAGCCACTTTGAAAAACAGTTGGATAGTTTATTATGAAGGCAATCACATATTAATCAAAAGACTCAACAGCAATTCTCAGAGTATTTGTTCACATATAGAAATATTTCCAATGCCAAAAAAGACTTGTATATGGATATTCATAGTAGCTTTATTCTCAACATGAATATAACCAAAATGTTCATCAATCAGTGAAAGGATAAATAACTTTTGATATACAAATAGAATACTATGATGGAATAAAACTACACATACACTGAAATGCATACATAAGTATCAAAACCACTATAATGAGCAGAATAATCCAGACACAAAAGGGGCACATGTAGCAGAGTTCTGTTTATTTTACATTTACAATAGGCAAAGCTGAATAAAAATAAGTGGTTGCCTGGAACCACTAGACATGGGAGAAAAGGTTTACTGCTCAGGAACAGGAGGGACCATTTTAAAGTAACAGAAATCTTCCATGTGTTGACTGGCTTGGTAGTTACACTGATTTATACATTTGTCAAAACTCAGAACAATACACCAAGAATAGTTTTGTTTTACTGCAAGTAAATTATATTCGAAAAAATTTATTTTAAATCTAAACATACAGTTAAGTAGCAATTGTTTCTAACATTAACTCATCAATGAAAATAAGAATCCATGAGCCCACATAGACACTAATTAATTAATTAATTGAGAGTACAGAAACTGTCACAGTAGAATGCCAGCGACAAAATACGAAAGCAATAATTCATTTAGAAAATTACCGTTTGGAAAACTTTTTCCAAATAATTAATTCAGCCAAGAAACATCTATAGGTATTAAGACCAGTGGGTGACACTGAAAAGGGAACAAATAGTGGAATAAAAAGCTCCACCGACTGTCCATCCTCACAAGGACATTAAGCTAACAACTATCTACACAGAAAAAACACCTTCATAAAAAAACAAAAATCAGATGAGCACTCCTAGTACCTGGTTTTAACTTAATATTGCTGAAAGAGACACTGAAGAGATAGAAAAAACAGTCCTGAATTGCCCATGCCACCCCTCCCTCACCCTTAGCAGCAGAGGCCTGGTGTGGAGAGCATCTCTGAGGGCTGGGGAGGGAGAGCACAGCAATCATGAGGCAATGAACTCAGTGCTGTCCTTTTAGAGCAGAAAGGAAACGCAGATCAAACTCAGCTGACCCCACCCACAAAGGGAGGATTTAAAACAGCCCTAGCCAGAGGGAAATCACCAATCCCAGTAGTCAGAACATGAATCCCTACAAACATCCCCACAGAGGGCTACAGTGTTCTGTGTTTCCAAGTAAACTTGGAAGGCAATCTCGGCCTTAAAAACAGCAACTCTTAGGGGAGTTTTGGTGCTGAACTAGGCCCAGAAATAGCGGGCTGGGGGAACATGCCGCCTACAGAGACACCAGCTGGGGCAGCTAAGCAGGTGCTAGCAAAACCCCTCCCTTAACCCCAGGCTGCACAGCTCATGGCTCCAAAAGAAACCCCTTCATTCCACTTGAGGAGAGGAGACAGAAGAACGGGGAGAACTTTGTCAGGTACCAGATATGGTGGTTGGCGATCACATTGATAGAGAATATGACTATCAGCCTGGGAAGAAGAAAGAGAAGATTTTTACATACCTGTGCTCAAAACAGGGATGCAAGAAAAAAGAGATGCTGCAGATGGCATGTGCCTAGTGTCACAGCAACTGCTGTATTCAGCACAGACAGCCCCTGGACCACAGCTGCAGACATGGGAGCTGCCCCACCATCAAAGCTGGGTGAGAAGAGACTATCAGTTACAATGATGCTGGCTTAGAATACACAGTATCGTAAGTGGAACCAGCTTATGCTCTAAAGTGAAAAGTGGAATGACTTCAAGCACCATTCCACACTAAATTGCTGATCCTAAATGTTTGTTGAGGGAGATGGGGTAATATAATAACATTGAATTCTGAAGTTGGAAAAAAAAAATCCCAGACCTAGCTAGAGGGAAATCACCAATCCTAGCAGTCAGAACATGAGTGCCTACAAACATTCCCACAGAGGATTACAGTGTTCTGTGTCTCCAAGTAAACTTGAAAGGCAGTCTGCACCATAAAAACAGCAACTCTAAGGGGATACCAGCTCAGCTACACCAGGATAGGGCACCAGTCAGAGTTGTGAGGCCCCCATTCCAGGCCCTAGCTCTCAGACATTTCTAGACACACACAGAATCAGAAGGGAACCTGCTGCCTTGAAGGAAAGGACTCAGTCCTGGCAGCATTTATTGCCTGCTAATTAAAGAGCCCTTGGGCCCTGAATAACCAGCAGTGATACCCAAGTACTACAATGAGGGCTTTGGATGAGCCTCTGAGACTTGCTGGCTTCAGGTGAGACTCAGCGCATTATTAGCTGTGGCGGCTATGGAGCAAAACTTCTTCTGCTTGAGAAATGCAAAGAAAAAAGTAAAGGGGACTTTGTTTTGCACCTTAGGTACCAGCATGGCCACAGGAAAGTGGAGCACCTAGTAAACTCCTGGGGTACCCATTTCCAGGACTTGAATCTTAGACAGCATTTCTGGACCTGTCCTGGGACAGAGAGGAGTCAACTGCCCTGAAGGGTGAATCCCAGGCCAGGCTGACTTAGGAGACCTTGGGCCTTAAGGGAACATGGGCAGTAGTCTGGCAGTACTTCTTACCGCGTGGGATGGCAGCAGCCACAGGGTGAGGCTTCTCTGCCTTTGGAAAGGAGGGGGAAGAGTGTGAAGGATTGTGTCTTGTGGTTTCAGTGCCAGCTCACTTAGGGCAAGACAATAGAACACCAGGTAGATATTTAAGGGTTTTTTTTGTTTGTTGTGTTGTTGTTTGTTTATTTTTGTCTGTGACGGAGTCTCGCTCTGTTGCCAGGCTGGAGTGCAGTGGCCCAACCTTGGCTCTCTGCAACCTCTGCATCCCAGGTTCAAGCGATTCTCCTGCCTCAGTCTCCAGAGTAGCTGGGACTACAGGCACACGCCACCACACCCAGCTAATTTGTGTATTTTTAGTAGAGATGAGGTTTCACCATGTTGGCCAAGATGGTCTCGATCTCTTGACCTCATGATCTGCCCACTTCAGCCTCCCAAAGTGCTGCGATTACAGGCATAAGTCACCACCCCTGGCCGATATTTAAAGTTTTTTACTGTAGTCCCTCACTCCTAGATGGCACTTCTGGACCCACCTGGGACCTGGGGAACCCTCCTGCCATGAAGGGAAGAACACAGGTCTGGCTAGCTTTGTCACTGGCTGATTGTAGAGCCCAGGGCCTTGAGTGAACACAGGCAGTAGCCAGGGAGTGGTTACAGCAGACTTTGGGTGAGACCCCAGTCTCTATGATGTGCTTATTTCACATTGTATGCCTGTATCAAAACATCTCATGTACCCCATAAATATATACACCTACTATGTACACACAAAGATTTTAAAAAAGAAAAACAAATAAATAAATAAAAATTGTGGGTGACTATTTGATGACAATGTGATATTTATATAGTTTCACATACCTCCCTACAAAGTGCTTATTGCATATCAAAAAAAGACTGAAGAGCAAAGAGTGTTTATAGTGGAGAAACATGACAAACACTTTAACCCAATGATCAGGTTAATAAATTATATATTTTCTAATAAGATACAACAAAAACAAAGGATGATTTCTGGAATATTCCTGCCAGAAGTGCATACTTCTGAATCTGGTCATCAGGAAACAGAAAACAAACCCAATTTTATGAATGTTGTGCAAAATTACTGAACAAGTCTAAAAAAATGACAAAGGCAACCTGTCATTATTGACTGAACGATTTTTACTATAAAGGACATTATCGGGACACTGACAAAACTTGAGTGGGCCTGCTTATTAGATCATTGCATATATAACTGTTAATTTCATGATTTTGTTGGCTGCAGTGTAATTATGTAAGATAACATTCTGTTTGTAGGAAATCTATTCTAGAATATTTCCAACTGCTGGGGCGCCTTGTCAGTAACTTACCCTCAGTGATTCAAGAATAAAGAATAAAAACAAACTTTCAATTTTATTTTTGACTGTCTTCTCAGAGGTTTATTAGAACCATAAAACAAAGAAACTAGTGTCTCTATCCTAAGAAAAATTATATTTTTATTTTTCCTAGGCACGATGTAGAGTTTTCCTTATAAAATTATATGGAAGTGACTAAGAGCTACCATGGACCCCTGGACTAGCCTGCTAGCTCGTGCTCTGATGTCAATGACATCAAAGGCATCCCTCCCAAGGAAATCTCAACTGCACAACCCCTACTATGCCCCAATTCAGCAGGAAGCAGTTAGAGTGGTCGTCGGCCAATCTCCCCAACAGCACTTGGGTTTTCCTGTTGAGAGGGGGCACCGAGAGACAGGACTAGTTGGATTTCCTAGGCTGCCTAAGAATCCCTAAGCCTAGCTGGGAAGGTGACCACATCCACCTTTAAACATGGAGCTTGCAACTTAGCTCACACCTGAACAATCAGGTAGTAAAGAGAGCTCACTAAAATGCTAATTAGGCAAAAACAGGAGGTGAAGAAATAGCCAATCATCTATTGCCTGAGAGCAGACCAGGAGGAACAATTATCAGGATATAAACCCAAGCATTCGAGCCAGCAACGGCTACCCTCTTTGGGTCCCCTCCCTTTGTATGGGAGCTCTGTTTTCACTCTATTAAATCTTGCAACTGCAAAAAAAAAATTACATGGAAGTTAAGTTCTTTGTGACAGTGTAAAACTGGAAGTAATTTAACAACTATGATTAGGAAAATAATATATCTACTATACAAAAATACTTATTGAAACACTACTAAGCAAGATATTCAGAATCCTCAGACCTGGAAGCATTCTGATAATTGTGAATTATCATTTTCTTAGGTTTTGTTTGGTCAGTTTTTAAATTTAGTAAGTTTCACAAACCAATTAAACATTTCCACCTCCTTTTTCTGACCCATTTAACACAGTTTAAATAATAGGACGCGCAAACCACTTAACTATTATTATCTTGTGAGATTACATGCTTATCTTGAATCACTCTTGGCTCTTTCCAATTTGTATTCTGATATTCTGTAATTCAGCCCCTGCTATTGTGTTAATATCTCCAACTTTTCAGAGCCTTGATCTAATTCAAGTACAGACATTAAATTTTATGACATTTCCATCTTTTCAGTGTAACATGTTAAAACTAAAATCAGTTAGAAGACACATGCAATTATGCACTTTTCAAAAAAACTAATAAAATACAACTAGGACTGATCTTCATCACTACACAAAAGTGTATCTAGGCCGACTGTTAATATATTAAAATGTTCCCATTCCACTTGATATTTAGCCAATGAGGTAATGCTTGGAAAGTCAGAGGGCATGCAGAATTCAGCTTCAGCACCTTGGCCAGTGTCCCCAAAGATTTGCCCATGTAAAAAAGGTTGTTAAATATTTTGAATAGTACCCTTGAAAACGTTTATTTGTCCACATAAACTAATCTGTGTTCGTTTCTTCACATAAAACAAACTTTCTCACATTCGTTTATAATGATTTTCTTCTAAATTTATTTGTATAATTATTGATTTGAACAATTTTTAAAGTGAAACTATTTACCTTATAGACAAATATCTTATAAGGTGAACATATAATAGTATTGACAATTTTGCAATACTTATAATATGCTAATTTTATTCATTTTACAAAAGTTACTAAGCTATAAATTTTATTTTTGGCAAGGACTAGTGATTACCCAATATAAATACAGGTTCTCCTATGCTCTTTTAAGTAGGGTGAATAAAATATTGAATTATTTCTTTAAGCTTCCAGGTGATGTTAGTGCTGCAGATCCAGGGACCACACTTTGAGTATCACTGGTGTGGACAAGCATAGTGGTTCTAAACCCTGGCTGCACACTAGAATCATCTGGGATAATTTTTTCCTTTGTGAATTTTTATTTATTTATAATTATGGTAAAATGTATCTAACATAAAATTTACCACATTAACTATTTTTAAGTGTACAATTCAAAAATTTTGATTATATTTATATCATTGTGTAGCCAATCTTCAGTCTCTTTTTATTTTTGAAAAATAATACTTTATACTCATTAAACACCAGCTTCCCAGTCTTTCTGGATACTAGTATCCAGAAAACTTCGCTGGCAACCACCATTCTACTTTCTGTCTCTATGAACTCTACTACCTTAGCTACCTCACATAAGTGTAATCATACAATATTTGCCTTTTCGTGACTGGTTTATTTCACTTAGTATCATGTCTTCAAGGTTCATCCATGTGTCAGAATTTTCTTCCTTTTTAAAGCTAATAATATTCCATTGTATGTATATACCACATTTTGTTTAGCCATTAATCTATTGATGGACTCTTGGATTGCTTCCATGTTTTGGCTATTGTGAATAATACTTTTATGAATATGGTCGTACAAATCTCCCTTCCAGGTCCTCCTTTCAATTCTTTTGGGTATATACCAAGAAGTAAAACTGCTGGATCATATAATAATTCTATTTTTACTTATTTGAGAAACCACCACACAGTTTTTTATAGTGGCTACACCATTTAACACTTTCACCAACAGTACACAATGGTCACAGATTTTCCACATCCTTGTTAACACTTGTTATTTTCTGGGGTTGTTTGTTTGTTTGAATGCTGAGCGTTCTGATGGGTTTGAGAGATGACGTGATTTTTTAATATAAATCAAAGCATACCGAAGTTAAGTAACTTCTGAAAAATTGCTCAAAGGTGGTGGTATCTGGTGTCCTTGGTCTTGCCTTTTCTCTTAATTTGAATAGTCAAAGCTAGAATTTTTTTAACCATACCACTATTTTAGAATATTACACATGGTTTGCAAAACATAACATTTATTTTAGCACAAGTCAGTATTGACTATAATAAGGCTTTTACAATGCTATTAAAATGGCAATCGTTATTAATATTGTTAATGATGCACCTAAATAATGAAGGCAGTAGGGACAATAAAATGAGAAACTTTTCTTCAGATCTCTTACAAACTCTGCATGTTGTTATTAAATGGTATTCCTTTAGTGCATTTTATGGCCCCAGCTCCATTACTAACTACCTGTGTGATTTGGGACAAGATTCTTATTCTCCCTATGTTTCAGCTTTTAAGCTCTTTCCAGAGAATTTTCCACCTTCTATTTTGATTATACTCAATTTAAATTATCCTGGGATGAAGAATATTTTACCTGTAGGAGTTTTAAAACGAGGAAACGCAAGTCCTAATAGGACATCAAGCTACCTTGAGACCCTAAAGTTCCCTGGGTAAGAAAACAAACCAGTTAAAGAGTCACTAGCTACATCCTGGGAAATCCACTCCTTTGAGGTACCTTCCCACTTTGAACTACTTATTAAGTCAATAACACTTCCTTCTGAAGTGATCATTAGGTAGAGAATGGATATACTCAGACACAATATAAACATGAAGGACTCACCATGTGGAAGTTTACAATTTGATGAGCTCTGAAAAAAAACAACATATATATGTAAATAAATGAGTATTTGCTATTTCCCATCTAATTTTTAAACTAAAGTTCTATCTCTATTCTTATGACATTTAAAATCTAATTTTTAATGGGAATTTTTTCAAAATCATATAAAGTACACTCATTTAGCTGGACAATTCACTTTGGATATGAGTGTTGCAAAATTATTATTTTTTTCATATAAAAGCCCTAGGTGGGTTAGTTAGATTTAAGTTTGAAAGAGAAACAAGATGAATAAATTTTTAGAGAAGAGAGAGTGAAAATGCTTTAAATGAACACACAAGTTATATCAATGTTTGATGAACATATTTTATCTGCCTAGAGGAAAGTTACTCTTGAAATAAGATGAGATGAAGACAGAAAAATGAAGGGTGGGGAATATAAACAGGAGGTGATTTAGAGCCATTGTTGTTTCCGTCATCAAATAATTACTAATCCTGAGAGGCAGCAGATTGGATTGGTTAAGGGTGTGATTCCCTGTGCTGGAATCCTGGCTCTGTCACTTGCCTATTGTATGATCTTAGACAAATTACTATACTTCTTTATGCCTTCATTTTCTTATCTGTTAAATGGAGATAAAAATATCTTCATTATAAAGTTACTTTAAATAAATTAATTTTATAAAATGCTTATAATTTTAAAAATACTTGAATAAATAGCTCAATAAGCAATTTCCAAAATATCCCCAGAGCTCCCATGTTCATGGCTACAAGTGAGATCTTTACAATTTCTCTAGACTTTAAAGTCCCCAGTTTGAAAACTACAGATGTATATATAGCCTCACTCCCCTTCAATCAGTTTTTCTCTATCTTCTTATACCTATAAAAATTTGCCACCTTTAGAAAATCATTCTTTTAATTTAAAAATAACATTTCAATTATTTTAAATGGATATTTTAGTGCTACTAATAAGTGTTAATTAGAATTTTTCACCAAACTCTATTTGACTAGATGATACGTGCCTGAATCATTTCGGATTCCACATCTCATCAGCTATATTCTGCTCATTCTCTCTACTAAATTAAAAACAAAATTCTATTTCACATATATTCACCTAAATGGTGGTAACTGTTTGGCAGTCCCAGTATTTGGGCATTTCACTTAAGTGTAGTGATGGAAATTATGAAGGAATTTCTCATGGAAGACTATAAACCCTCCTTTACATTCCCAAAAGAGTGAAGAAATTAAAGATGGCTTTTGTATAACCTCAAAACAATCTCCTCCTCTGGGCAGAGCTCCTCTGGGCTCTGGGCAGTCCTCTTCACTTTGAACCATTTGCTAGGTCAATGCATCCTTCCCAAATCAACACTGGGCAAAGAATACACACAACTAGCACTGAGGGGAATTACAAACAAATTACTTGAAATATTCTTTAAATTTTCAATTTGAGACTTTAGGTAATGCATTCCCATTCCATTCTTTCATTTTATTCAGCTCTAAGAAGTATTCCGTGTTTTTACATTTCCTTGCAGATTTTGATTTGGCTTTTAATGATTCCCAATTCATATGCTAATAAAAAGCCAGGCGTGGTGGCTCATGCCTGTAATCCTAGCACTTTGGGAGGCCGAGGCAGGTGGATAAAGAAGTCAGAAGATCAAGACCATCCTAGCCAACATGGTGAAGCCCCATCTCTACTAAAAATACAGCTGAGCATGGTGCCTGTAGGCCCAGCTGCTTGGGAGGCTGAGGCAGGAGAATTGCCTGAACTCAGGAGGCGGAGACTGCAGTGAGCCGAGACTGCACTCCAGCCTGGGAGACAGAGCAAGACTCTCTCAAAAAAAAAAAAAAAAAGAAATGGTAAGAAAAAATATTAACATTGGTTAATTTCTGAAAGTATGCCAGATATACTAAATTATTTTAAATGATTTGCATATATTATCTCATTTTAACCAAGCATATTATGAAGTAATTTTTTCATGGTCCTCATTTTTTATACATGATGAAACTCAGGCACAGAGAAGTTAAACTTGTGCAAGGCCAAACAATAAGCAAGAGATGGGGCCAGGATTTATACCTACTCAGCCTTACTCCAGAATCTAGGCTCTTAATGGCAACAACATATTTTGTTTTTAGAATTCTCTTATTTTCAAGAGGCATAGATCATACTCAAAATGGCTAAAGAAAAAAAACCTAAAAAGTTGTGGTAAATGTGGTTTTAATTGCATATAAATCCACGGGCTCAAACAGAATCCTTGGGACTTGACCAAGCATTTTCCACATCCTAAGACTGTTTTTCTTTGTTGGCTTGTTAAAGATGCTCACTATATTGTTTTGTATACTCACTGAAACAAGTCAATTGAATCATCAAAAGATGGTCTTTGGAAGCATTATCAGTCCATGAAGATATTTTTTAAAGTCCCACTTTTTCATTTCAAAAACTCATATGAGCACCTTTTCCCATGATGGTCACCATATTTGGTGTGGAAACGCAGAATCTTTTTTTTTCTTTTGAGACAGGGTCTCATACTGTTGCCTGGGCTGGAGTGCAGTGGCGCCATCTCGGATCACTGCAACCTCCACCCCCAGGTTCAAGGGATTCTCCTGCCTCAGCCTCCCGAGTAGCTGGGACTACAGGCGCCCAGCACCACGCCCAGCTAATTTTTTGTGTTTTTTTAATAGAGAGGGGGTTTCACCCTGTTGGCTAGGGTGGTCTCGAACTCCTGACCTTGTGATTTGCCCACCTCAGCCTCCCAAAGTCCTGGGATTACAGGCGTGAGCCACCATGCCCAGCCAAAATGCAGAATCTTATACTATCTGCCCACTTCCTTGAACATCATGCTTTAAAACGAGCACATTAAAATAGCTATGATGAAAACATATTCACATTTTTTGCTATATCTTTTAACTTCAAATAAAGATCTATTGCTGATTGCCAGGATTCTTTATAAATACAAGAATATGTGGATTATCATCATTTAGCTCTCATTCCTTGCTGCATATGTAGCTGTACTCTGTTAGTTTGATAACTCAACACCTGTTCTAGTCCACCCAATGGCTCACAAAATAGACATTAGATAAATAAAATTAGAGTAGAAACTCTCCTCTTTTATTGTAGGCTTGCAGTGATAGAAGAAAAAGTGGTCAAGCAACTCTCACTCCTGTGAATGCAGATACAATGAGTTGATTCATTCTCAGCAAATCAATTGTTCATTCAAATTTAGGTAAAATAAATGACAGTCATTATCCTTTTACATTTTATGATATCACATTTTGATTTTATGTGATGTTCAACATTATTGCTTGATAAAGAGATGCTTTCTCTTTTTATCTTAGTGTTAACTGTGTGTCTTCACTTTTTAACAGCCTCAGTAATTATGTAACTTGGGACAATGTTTCCTCTCAGGAGTACATCTTAGGATGATTTTTTTTTTTTTTTGTATTTTTAGTCTTTACTGTTTGCATCCAATAATTAATTTCCTTTTTTCTTGGCAAACTTGATTGTTTTGCCAAGGAGGTTTATCTGTTACATTTGAAAAAGGCATACTACTAATTGACAGCATTTTATATTAGACAATGTATTGATGAGTAAGAGCAGATGCATTACTAGCCCAATATTTAAGTTTTCAGTTATTCATGAGGTTTTCTTGTGTTCACTTTTTTCGCTTTATGCTTCCAGATATACTTGTCTTAGCACATGAAACTTTACATTCTATATGTATACTGGAATAATAAATACTATTATCATTTATAATATTATTCTGAGTTGTAATATGTAAGTAATCATTTTTCATCTGGCAGCCAGTCAGTAAACAAATAAAATTAAGCTCATAAAAAAGTGACGATCCCAGTGTAAACAGACAGCCTACATATAAACAAGAAGTACAATAGGGCCTTAACACAATGGTTACTAGCAATATAGAATGTAAGGACCACTGGGGAAATTTACACAGCTAGAAGCAGCAGAATGCATGGTTCCCCCATTCTTTTGTCATTCCTGTGGAGGAGTGTCCTCAGGTTAAGCTTAGCCAAACACATCATAGAAAGAATCTGGGAAGGAAAGAATTAAAGCTGATGTGATACATTTCTTCCCCAATTACTAAGGGAGTAGAGAGTTGGGATAGTGATGGACACTTCTGGGGAAGATAAAATAAGGCAGGTGATCCAGTATAATTTCCCTGTACGAACAACTGGGTCTCCAGACAAATAGACTAATGCTTCATTCCAGGAGAAGAATCTTTACCTTTGGAATGCTTTGAGTCAGATGCTTCTGATTGAGGTTTGCCTAATGTAAAGACACCTAATACCTATAGATTTAAGAGCCATATCTTCCTAGATAACATAATGTACACTCTGCGGTAGAAACTAGAGATATTTCTTTAATTAAATACTCCTAGTTGTGTGAGGTGACCCTTGAATCTCATTAAGTATCTCCTCATATATTATTTCAAGCCAAAAGCATGGATACAATGCTGAAAGCAGGAAACTAGGGAGTTCTGCAGTATAGCCTAAATGTTTTCTTATTTCTCCTATCCCACTTGATTGCTTGTATTCTTGAAATTATTAGTAAAGTTTGATACTTAATAAGACCTTTATTTGTTATTGATGGAAAAATCTGGTCTTTGTTTTACCTTAAAGCCCTTTTAATTTAACACAAACATACACACACACACACGCACACATCTTATAGGAATACATTGAGAAGAAATAAAACTGTATTAAATTTAAGCAAGAGAATTTGAAAAACAAGGATGTAGGATGATGATTAATTTTGGTAAGGGCGGCAAGGACATGGGTGGACAGGAGGTAAAAATCAAGTGGTTGGAAGTAGACTATTATTAATATCATAGTTTCTGTTGGAGGTAGTGATTTTATGGGTGCTTACTGCATTAAAAAATAGATATTTAAAAATATAAATAAGTAAATAAATAGTAGTAGTGGGCCCATCCCAATGCTGTTATATAGTTGCACCTTGATAAAATCAAATAGCTAAATGAAAATAAGCTTTCAGAATCAAATATAAAAATATAGCAGCATGATTTATAATCCTTTGGGTATATACCCAGTAATGGGATGGCTGGGTCAAATGGTATTTCTAGTTCTAGATCCCTGAGGAATCGCCACACTGACTTCCACAATGGTTGAACTAGTTTACAGTCCCACCAATAGTGTAAAAGTGTTCCTATTTCTCCACATCCTCTCCAGCACCTGTTGTTTCCTGACTTTTTAATGATTGCCATTCTAACTGGTGTGAGATGGTATCTCATTGTGGTTTTGATTTGCATTTCTTTGATGGCCAGTGATGATGAGCATTTTTTCATGTGTTTTTGGGCTGCATAAACGTCTTCTTGCACACGTATGTTTACTGCGGCACTATTCACAATAGCAAAGACTTGGAACCAACCCAAATGTCCAACAATGATAGACTGGATTAAGAAAATGTGGCACATACACACCATGGAATACTATGCAGCCATAAAAAATGATGAGTTCATGTCCTTTGTAGGGACATGGATGAAGCTGGAAACCATCATTCTCAGCAAACTATCGCAAGGACAAAATACCAAACACCGCATGTTCTCACTCACAGGTGGGAATTGAACAATGAGAACACATGGACACAGGAAGGGGAACATCATACACCAGGGACAGTTGTGGGGTGGGGGGAGGGGGGAGGGATAGCATTAGGAGATATACCTAATGCTAAACGACAAGTTAATGGGTGCAGCACACTAACATGGCACATGTATACATATGTAACAAACCTGCACGTTGTGCACATGTAACCTAAAGCTTAAAGTATAATAATAATAATAATAATAAAAGAAAAAGAAAAAAAGTAGAATTCAAAACTAAACAAATAATATTAAAGCAATTTGTCTAAAAATTAAAAAAATATGAAGGGATATAAAGTAATATCTTAACTGAATATCAATTTTTACTTCCTAGAAGAGTAGCTGCTATTTGGTTTGAGCTCCTTTTGTAAATGAATGCATTTAATGGAAAAGAACATTTTAGAAGCAATTACTGGTTAAAAAATTAAGGGGTAGGGTTTTCTAGATATACAATCATGTCATCTGCAAACAGGGACAATTTGACTTCCTCTTTTCCTAATTGAATACCCTTTATTTCCTTCTCCTGCCTAATTGCCCTGGCCAGAACTTCCAACACTATGTTGAATAGGGGTGGTGACAGAGGGCATCCCTGTCTTGTGCCAGTTTTCAAAGCTCTATGTCCAAGTGATTAAAAAAAAAAATTAAGGGGTAGGAAGGTAATAATCTTCTTCCACCTTCACTTAAGTTTATTTAATAAAGTACGGTGGACCCTTGAACAAAGTGGGGGTTAGGTGCACTGAACCCTGTACATTCAAAAATCAGCATATCACTTTTGATTCCCCAAAAATGTAATGACTAATAGCCTACTGTTGACTAGAAGCCTTAGTGATAATCAATTAACACATATTTTGTATATGTATCATATACTGTATTCTTACAAAAAGGTAAGCTAGACAAAAGAAAATGTTATAAAGAAAATCATAAGACAAAATATATTTGCTAGTCATGAAATGAAAATGTATTGTAATAAAAATGTTTTCTCCTCACTGTTTTCTCACTGAGTAGGCTGAGGAAGAAGAGGGTTTGGTCTTGATGTCTCAGGAATGGCAGAGGCATAGAGAAATCTGCATAAAGTATACCCATGCAGTTCAACTCCATGTTGTTCAAGGGTCAACTATCTACTAGATACTACTATCTAGTAATATCTACTAGAACAAAACAGTTAAAATGAAGTAGTTAGCTTATAGTTAAGTAAGGCAAACTGACTAAACACATTCTCTTTTGTTCCTTTCTGAGGTCATTTTTGAAATATAATAATAGTTTAGTATAATTTATATTGAGTGATGATAGTGTTGGCAGCCCAGAAAAAAGACCTCTATATTTGGCATCATAAACATTGTGTTAGGCAACCTGAGTAGAGATTTGAATATAATATTGCTCCCGTCTGGGAGAGAGAAAGACATATAAACAAATATTTGTTTAAATGGTAGTTTATATAATAAAAGTGTCATCATGGTGGTGTAGAAAATTTTCAAGATAAATTAACCAACTAACTCAAGTCTGTTATATAGACACTGAAAAATACCGGCCTCAAATAAATGATTAATTTTATAATGAGCACATAAAACATGGTAATTAAATAGCTAAATTTGCAAAATATAAATCACACATGAAAATACTAATCAATGTATGAAAATATCAACAATAAAGAATAACTTTCCACAATTTAATTAGCACTAAAAGGAATACATAATTACAATACACAACATTTGCAAGAATGTGAAAAACTTGTACATTTATAGATTGCCAGTTGCAGTCAAAATTGATACTAATTCCTTTGGATGACAAGATAGCAGTAGATATATATATTTAGTTCAGAGTCAGAGGGTACGTGGGCTTATTTGTTACATGAGTACATGCATAATGGTGGAGGTTGGGCTTCTAGTGTATCCATCACCCAAATATTGGACATTGTACCCAGTAGATGATTTTTCAATCCTCCCTGCCCCCCGCCCTCTGCCCTCCCTCTTTGGAGTCCTGAGTCTAATTTCCTCATCTTTATGTCCACATGTATCCTTTGTTTAGCTTCCACTTAAGCAAGAACGCTCCCTCTTTGGAGTCCTCAGAGTCTAATTTCCCCATTTTTATGTCCACATGTATCCTTTGTTTAGCTTCCACTTAAGCGAGAACCCTCCCTCTTTGGAGTCCTCAGAGTCTAATTTCCCCATTTTTATGTCCACGTATATCTTTTGTTTAGCTCCCACTTACAAGCAAGAACATGTGATAGCTGATTTTTTGCTTCTGTTAGTTCACTTAAGGTAGTGGTGTCCAGCTCTATCCATGTTGCTGCGAAAGATATGATTTCATTTTTGTAATCTATTTAAACATGCAACCCTTGATGCTGAAATCTCACATTGGGGTACTTATTCTATAAATATAAATTAACTATGTATAATTTATAGTATAAGTTAAACACAGCTGTTGAAATTTCTAGAGTAACCACTAAAAAAAATAGAAATCAAGTATTTTTATGGTCTGAATGTTTGTCCTACCAGCATTCATATGTTGAAACCTAATCACCAATGTGATGTGTTAGGAGATGGGACATTTGGAAGGTAGTTAGATTATCAGGATGGAGCCCTTATAAATGGGATTAGTGAAAATACTAGTTAATCAATGTATGAAAATATCAACAATAAAGAATAACTTTCCACAATTTAATTAGCACTAAAAGAAATATATAATTACAATACACAACATTTGCAAGAATGTGAAAAACTTGTACATTTATAGATTGCCAGTTGCAGTCAAAATTGATACTATTATTAAAATTGACACCTTATTAAAAGAGGCCCCAGGGAGCCTGCCTTGGTCCTTCCACCATATAAGGATATAGCAGAAGACACTGTCTATGAATGACTGTCTGTGACACAAGCCCTCACCAGACACCAAAACTGTCAAGCCTTTGATCTTGGACTTCCCAGCCTCCAAAACTGTGAGAAATAAATTACTGTTGTTTAGTAGCTACCCAGCCTACAGTATTTTGTTATAGCAGCCCAAACAGACTAAGACAAGTATACAAATTCCAAACTCTTGAATGGGCAGAAAAAGAAAAGAAAATATAACTTAGCCATCAGCCCAAAAGAAGACAAGACAGTAGAAAGAAAATGAATGTAAAAAAAAAAAAAAAAAAACGACAAAAAAGCTGAACCTAAAAAAGAAAAAAAAAAAACACATAGTGTAGAACAAACCCTGTATCTGTAATCAAAGTAAATAAACTAAAATTTTCAATTTAAAATATATCAGAACTTATTAAAACAAAATTCAGTCATATGTCATATGCAAGGTACACATAAAACATAAGGACAAAAAGAGATGAAAAATAAATTAAATAAGGGGAAATACCTAGATTAAACTTAAGCTCGTTTAGCTGTACAGAATCCTTAAAGTTGTGGTTATGACAAAAATGCGTCATTACATAAAGAAGTATGATCTTTCTAAATTCATAAATACCTAACATATCCTATATGTATTATAATAAAATTAAAAGAAATATGAGAGAAGGATAGACACAAACTTCGGGACAGTGATCAATTCCAAAATGAAAGGTGAGGCAGTAGCAATGTTTGCACCACCATTGAAGGAAAGCAGTGGTACCTCAGGTTTTATTATTAACCTTTAAAAACTGAACATACATGTTATATATACTCTTTTTACATATGATAGTTCATGAAAATATAATCAATAGTATTCCATTCTATGAAAAATTTTGAAGGTATGAGCAATAGTTATTAACGTGTGTTAAAATGGTAGAATTTTTGTCCTATTTTACATGTAGTTTGAAAATAGTTTCACCCTCCTCTTTACTCCACACATATTATAAAAACAATATAAGCTAAACACTAGGTTTTGGAATATAATTGAGTGGTCTCCATTATTAAATACTTTTGAAGGACTTTAGAACATCAGAATAAATTTTGCTATTAAGTTGTTTGGAAATTAGAATTTATGTCACACAGCTATAAAAACTAGAAAACAAAGGAGATAAAGAATTTCCAAAAGCAGAAATTACATCCCAAAGTTTAATAATACCCACAATTTGAGTTATAAATTTTCTGGTAGAATGAATATCAACCTAGCCTTTTATCCTCACTTAAGTTTTAAATTCCCTTTACAAATAGTTCAGAATTACACCATTCTAATTTAGACTTGGAATATAGGACAGTGAATGCAGACATGATTATTTCAGAGTAAAAACTGAAAATAAAAAGAAACTGAGTGTTGAAGTACAACTATTTAATTTTAATCATTAGTATTTATAATTTTTAATCATTAATATTTTCACTTGTTCAAAGCATTTACATAGAGATATAGAATCTTCACTATGGCATTTTCTTCTTTTCAGTGGATGGCAAAAGGCTCTTTGAAGTACATTTTGCCTGAGATATATGATCACTTGTATTTTAATACTGAGTACATTTCTATTCAACTCCAAATACTTAGACTTGATAGGTGTATGTATTCACATTGCTTCCACTGAAAAGACTAGGAAAGTATCCAGAAGATTCTAAGAACCTATAGCTAAAAATAAATAGTCTCTTATGGGAGTAAGTAGCTTTCCACTGTACATTACTGAATTCCTTATTTAATTGAATCTTGGATGGGTTAG
Organism: Homo sapiens; assembly: GCF_000001405.40. NCBI lineage: Eukaryota > Metazoa > Chordata > Mammalia > Primates > Hominidae > Homo > Homo sapiens. Next base: position 109,961,644 of record NC_000003.12, on the reverse strand, counting down.
ATATTGGATTAGCATAACTAAAATAAGGGTTAAAAGTGGTGCTATATTACTATGTGGAATGTAGTTTAAGCATTTTCTATTTAGGATTTCTCCTTTTGTACTTATTTGTCAGATGTGTAGACTGTGACCTCTGTTCTGAGTTCAGTGCAGTAAAATCTTCTAAAGGATAAAAAATAGAGAGTTCAAACAGAGCAGTATAAAGTATACTATGGCCCCTCAGTAATTATGCTATAATTCTGTTGGAGAAAACAATTATTTTGCAAGCCCTATATTCAGACACTTGCTTTAAACTTCCTGAAAAAGGGAAAACCATTCCTTTTAGCTGAGATTATTTTGTTCTTTGCATGTGTTCAAAAATGACTAATATTTCCTGTTCATTTTTTAAAAAGAGAGAACACATTGTACACACATAAACACATGTGCATAGACAAACATGTGTCTTTATGCTCTGAGAATCTTCTTAAATACACTTTAGTCTTGTCATTTTTATTCATAAAGGATAGGTTTTATCAGCTTACTGAGTCTGAAAAGGGATCTCAAGCATTCTAACCGTGCTTCAAGACAAATGTGTGAGGGTTAGTAGAGCTCTTACTTTGTTTGAGAAAGATTCATGACTGCATAGTACAAGTCAACCTCATTGTGGATAAAAATAATTGCTTTATATTTACCCATTGAATAACCTTAGCCCAGAATCAATTCACATACCTTCTCACTTGTGACAGAAACACCAAAGAATCCTAATGGGCCAAAACATCCTAATAATACAAGTAGTGAGAATCTGTTGTCATACTCTGATAATTATATGTAACTTTCAAATATATGGGTCAAGGAAACTAAATAGTACTTGAGTGCTACTAACCAGAACGTAGGGCCAAGTATTTGTTTACTGATTTGCCAGAACTTTCCTTTCTTAGTGAATGTGCTGATTAACATTAGAAGACCAATAAAATTCCTATTTTACATCTGAGGTAAGCTCTGTCCTTTTCAGAGACTGAGGGATGGCCTGTGTCATCTCTGAAGATCTTTTTTCAATTTGTTAAGTCCGTAGGGCATCTATAATTCTCCAAGGTTATATTTGTAAAATGTTATCCGTTATGAGGCTTCAACTGCAAGGGGTCCTATCCATTGGCCAACTCATGCTGTAAATAATAATAATAATAATTGATGAATTGGAGCTTTATATTATATAACAGCAGTGCCACTTTCCAAGATCTAGATTCATGGATGTCATTCTGATAGTTGATTTTGTTCATTTCCCCAGACACTCTCCACAGCCAACTACAAAGAAGTAGTGACTGTCCTAATTCTACAGAATGGTAAAATACACCAACATACCAAAACTACTTTAAAAAAAAGTGGACATTTTAAAAAAATCTTTATCTTTACAAGAATTAACATATAGCAGCAGGCAATCAAACTTACTAAACTTGGAAAGAAATCTTGTCAACTACTTAAGAAGAGTAAGCATCTATGAATAGAAGAGGGAGCAGGGGACTCAGACCTGGTGAGACCTGGCTGCTTTACCTAAGGAAAGCTATATGGGTTTCCTGAACCTTGCTCTTACTTATTTATAAAATTAGGTAATAAGGCCAGGCAGGGTGGATCACGCCTGTAATTCCAGCACTTTGGGAGGCCGAGGTGTACAGATCACTTGAGGTCAGGAGTTCGAGACCAGTCTGACCAACATAGTGAAACCCCATCTCTACTAAAAACAAAAAATACAAAAATTAGCCGGGTGTGGTGGTGGTGCCTGTAATCCCAGCTACTCAGGAGGCTGAGGCAGGAGAATCACTTGAACCTCAGAGGCAGAGGTTGCAGTGAGATTGTGCCACTGCACTCCAGCCTGGGCAACAGAGTTAGACTCCATTTAAAAAAAAAAAAAAAAGGTAATAATACCTAGGACTGAATGAGGAAAATAAATGAGATAATGTATATAAATCAAGGCAAATAGTAGACTCTTGATAAAATGGTGCCTTTTTTGACAACAAAGATAAAGAATTTGGTTTTATAATAATGAATGAAACAGAATAATAAAATATGAGAGAAGCTTAATGTTGGACGCCTTTTAGTTATGATTACTGAAGAAAAGTGCCCCCCTCTTCTGAAAAGCCTTTTAAGTTTAAAAGGAAAAAATTATGGAGGCAGGCCATAATTCTAAGTATATATTAGATGAAAATGAAAATAAAATAAAAATGACACAAATTGGCTCCAGTATGAGGGAGGCATGGAATTAAACTTGCAGATAAAAGAAAGTAGAATTTGGAGAAAGTTATTTTCCCAGAAGAACTAGAAGATAACCCCCATTCAAATTAATTTCCTAAACATAGACACAGATGTTTTTGCATAATTTCCATAACTTCACCTAATATATTGGTTTCTACTAACAACGAAATGGAATTAATCCTGTAGCTACTTGTGAAAGTATATCTCTTTCTTCTCACTTGTGTTTTACATTTTAAGGTAGGCAGTTAAGAAATTAGGACAAAGAGCTGAGTGTGATGAATGCAGATGTGAGTACGTGAGATTCAAATAGGTACACTTAAGACACTGAGGATATGTATAAAATGAAATCTACAACTACAAGTATCACTTGAAACAATTCTTGTCTTGATCAAGATGCACTTTGCAATTCAGTTGGACAATCAAGAAAGAATGTTGCATACAGTACACCCAGTGGCTCATGATTAGGCCTGGTGTAATTCTCAGGAGTGGAATTAATAATATGGAGGAATACCACTGTATGTTAGAAGATACTTCCTCCACAAAGAGGACAGCTGTAGCTTTAAAAGCCAATATGATACCTAAGAACTCACAGGTTTTGTAGGGGATACTAACAGCTAGTGCCATGAAGAGAATACAATTCTTAAAATATTAGGGACATCAAAATTGCCCAGGAATTTTTTTGTGAAATTAATGACAGTAAAATTTAATACTAACATATATGAGAAAATTTACTTATTCTCAAGTGAATACAACTTCTCTTTCTGATTGAGATGAACTCCAGAAACTCATCTACAAGTGGAAAAATTATCATGTTTTTAATTTGTTGAAGAACATCAATTATTCTTACTCTGAATAATTGAATCGAATTTGAGTTTATTCATTCATTTACTCATTTATTCAACAAACTTTGATTGAGTTCCTATCACATGTCAGCATTTTGAAAAATGCTAGCAGTAAAAATAAAGAGACAGGTTACGTTCAGTTTTCACTAGGAATTAAGCAAGAAACCAACTAGCAGTCCAACCAACCAGCTAGCAGAATATCACTTTAATACTTTTATTTCAAATTATAGGCTCACTTTTCTGCTAGCTATGTTAAAATGACATGATAAGCTAGGTATGATATTTAATTTTTATTTATTAGCATGTAAGATATATAAAATATGAAAAATTTATTAGAAAATACATATAATACCTGATGCAACAGGTACTAAAATAGCCACAGTACTGAATTTAGTCACCACATCACATAGTATCAAAGAGATTTGTTATTTAATAATTATGTTTTGAGAACAGCCAACTCAAAAATGTAAAGAAAGGTGGCATAGTTAGCTTCTGTGTGTGAAAAGCAGCAGTAATGTCCTATTGTGGATGTAAGACATCACTAGATTTGAGGAACTTCGGTGCAAACTTAAGAATTTGGCACCCAGTTTTGGAGAACAGGTATATAAACAAAGCATGAAAATATTAGACAGTACATTTTACAAAAAAAAACATGAGTGAGTTGTGTGGACAATAATTGCTAAATAGATTCCAACTGACAGAGTCCATGAAGAGGTAAAAATACTAGTTTACCCTGTATATGGTTTGGCTCTGTGTCCCCACCCGAATCTCACATTTAATTGTAATAATCCCCTTGTATCATGGGAGGGACTGGTGGGAGGTAACTGAATCATGGGGCAAGTTTTCCCCATGCTGTTCTCATGATAGTGAATAAGTCTCATGAGATCTGATGGTTTTATAAAGGGGAGTTGCCCTGCACACACCCTCTTGCCTGCCACCATATAAGATGTGTCTTTGTTCTTCCCTCACCTTCCGCCATGATTATGAGGATTCCCCAGCCATGTGGAACTGAGTCCATTAAACCTCTTTCTTTATAAATTACCCAGTCTTGTGTATGTCTTTATTAGCAGCATGAGAACAAACTAATACAAAGCAGTAATATCCTATTCTGGATGTGACATATCACCATATTTGAGGAACTTTGGTGCAAACTTAAGAGTTTGGCAACCAGTTTTGGAGAACAGGTACGTAAACAAATCATGACAGTATTAGACAGTACATTTAAAAAAAAAAAGGAGTTGTGTGGAAAATAATTGCTAAACATATTCCAACTAACAGAGTTCATGAAGAGGTAAATATACTAGTTTACCCTGAAAAATTCAAGTACTGTACTTGTAATCATAGAAAGGCATTTGAGTACAGACTAAAAATTAAATATAACAAATGAAATTACTACAAGCCTCTAAAGCTTTCAGGTAGTGACTAGTACTGTTAAGAAAGAGAAGAAAAAGAAAAAATAAACAGAGACATTTTTGTGAGTGTGTGTTAGGGTAAAGAAATATGGAGTAGAAATAGAGACAGTATTGAAATAAATGGGTTTGGTTTTAAAATTAGAGAAATTGAGACACCTGCAGCAGTTAGAAATATGAATATAACTTGCAGTGAAAATAGGGTTCAAAATAAATAGTAAGTCATGAGAGATATAAAATGTAGGATGTTTTAGAAGAGTATGCCAATATTTTATAATATGATGTCCATCATCAGGGACCAAGAGTAGAAAGAGCCAGCAAGTTTTACTGAAGAAAAGAGGGCTAGAATAGTTCGGTTTTTCAGGAAGTTGTAGAGCAAATCATTAAGAAGGAAGGAAGTCGATGGCAGTGGATAACTGTTACCAATGGGATTAAAGGTCATGAAAACTTCTAGGATAGTTTAAGTTGGTCCCTGATAGAAACAAAAATATGTGCATAATTCTGGTCATTTATAGCACTTTAAGTCAGTTTGTATAAATGATTAATTAAAATAAAATGGCATGTATACATCTACATTAGCACAGTCTTGTGTATGTATATACATTATCTTTCCAGGAATCTTAGGGAAAAGCAGAGACAGAAAATAAGACAGACAACCACTACCAAAACCTTGTGCATCTTACTAACCAGAATGTTTCAGAACCCTACACATCTGCACATCTGCACATCTCCAATATTTGTTGTATAAGCCCAATCAGAAAAATTGGCCCGGCTCACCTGAAACTTCACTTAGATAAGAGTAAGAATAGATTGTTGCTGGTAGGAGCCAGAAAAGGGGGTGCTCTTTCATCATAGACCTCCACATTTGGTGAGATGTAGCTCTGAACCATATTCTCTGTAACAAGGGTGAAATCTAGCCCCTGTCCTATCTTCTGTGACTAGTGAGAAAAATGAAGTCAAGAGATGTCTTGTATTGAATAGATTCTACAGAAACGCAGAGAGAATAAACACCTATTGAGCACTGTTTTACATTTATCAGCTGCTAAACCTGGGTTGCCTCATTGCAGTACCATACTCTAAGATAACTAAAGATGGATGAGGAAATTGAGTTTAGAGAGGTTACATGAAACACCCAAGATAAACAGTCAAAGGCTGAGCTGGAATTCAAACCCAATTATCCATGTCTTATTAAACATACATCTTTTCACAGCCTTATATCTGTGGTCTGAATTTCTGAGCCCCTTCTAGGTACAAGCTAAAAGAAGTAGCAATCCTCCAAAAAAAATATGGAAAGTGGGGAAGGGAGAAACTTTACAGTGGAGAAACCTGGCAAGTACTATCTTAGCCAAGTGACCAAGGTTAGCATTATTAGTGTTTAGTCAGTATACCTATAAACAAATGTGGAGAAAGGAGACCTCTTAACTACTATTGGTGGGGATGTAAATTAGTATAAACATTATGGTCAACAGCACTGAGGCTCCTCAAAAAAATAAAAATAGAACTATCATATGATCCAGCAATCCTACTACTGGGTTTTTATCCAAAAGAAGTAAAATCAATACGTTGAAGAGACATCTGCAGTCCCACCATTATAGCACTATTCACAATAGCCAAGATAAGGAACCAACCCAAGTGTCCATCAATGGATAAATGGATAAAATATTGTTGTATATATACAGAATGGAATACTATTCAGCCACAAAGAAGGAGGAAATCCTGTCATTTGTGACAACATGAATGAACCTGAAGGACATTACGTTAAGTGAAATAAGCTAGGCAAAGACAAATTACCCATGATCTCGCCCTTATTCGGAATATAAAACAATTGGGTTTCATAAAAGTAGAGAGTAGAATAGTATTTACCAGAGTCTTGTAAAGGTAGCAGAGAGAGGAGATGGAGAGAAGTTGGTCAATAAACACTATGTTACAATGTCCTTATTCCTTATACAGAAGGAATAAGTTCTGGTGTTCTAATGCAGAGTAGGGTGACTATGGTTAACTATAATGTATTGTACATTTCAAAATAACAAAAAGATCAGATTTTGAGTGTTCTTATCACATATAAGTGGTGAATGTTTTCATACATATATACAATGTGCAAATAATCAAATCAGAGTAATTAGCCAAGGGTAATTAGATTTTGAACATATATGAAAATGGAGACACAAATTTTGTCACTGAGATAGTCAAAAGTTGCTCCCTGATAGCAAAAGACAAGCAATCCAGTAGCTAGACAGATACCTCTGATCAATAGGCCAATTACCCTGATTTGATTATTTATACATTGTATACATTTATGGAAACATCGCACTATAACCCATAAATATGTACAATTATGTGTCAATTAAAAATGGAATTAAAAAAAGCTTAGCCTAGTGCCCAGAGATGGCCACAGCTAATGTTTCAGTTATTATTTGCAACAATTTTATATAACAAAATATAAATATGTAAAAATTGATTGCCCTGATCTGCCACATCACATGCAATTTTGAAAACATTTACCCAACCACTTGCAAATGACAGCTAAGAATTTATAGATTTTTGAAACATAATTTTAGACATTCCCAGTGTTTTAATTTGTTGTAGACCATAATGCTATTTCTAATGTTTATTCCTATTATAAGCCACAATCATGGAACCAAACTAGGTGTCCATTGTTGGATGAATGGATAAAGAAAATGTGATACAAATATCACATTTTCAGTATACATATATATATAGTGTGCATGTGTGTTTGTGTGTACGTATGTATGTGTGTGTATACACACACACATACAGCCATAACATTCAGCCATTAAAAAAGAAAGAAATCTTGTCGTTTGTGTCAACATAGATGAAGCTGAAGGATATTGGGTTCAGCGAAATAAGTCAAGCACAGAAAGGCAAATACTGCATGATCTAACATATGTGGATCTAAGAAAGTTGATCTCATGGAGAGAATGATCATCAGAGGCTGTTGTGATTAGGGGAGGGAGGAGATGGAGAGCTGTTTATCAAAGGATACAAAATTACAGTTAGGCAGAAGGAATAAATTTAATGAGATCTCTCATACCTCAAGATGACTATAGTTAGTGATGATATATTGAATTATTGAGATATGTAAAGAGACTGAATGTTATGTGCTAGCACCAAAAAATGATAACTGTGTGAGGTGCTGCGTGTGTTAATTAGCTAGATTTAACCATTCACAATGTATATACGCTTCAAAACATCACGTTGTACATAATAAAAAGAAACAAGTTTTCTGTCAATATAAAAATAAAATATAAAAATGCAAGGAAAAATTAAGGAGATAGAAAATACAGAAAAAATAAACTACATTCATATTTTAAAAAGTAAAGAGTGATGAAGGATTAGCTATTTGTAAACTGGAGTGCTTATCTATTTCCTTTCTTAGACTATTTCTTTAGACTATTTAAGCTTTTTTTTAGAACTTGTTTAGCTGTATGAGTTAATGTGTCACACACTGTTATTATTTCCTTTCATTTTTAAAATTCATAGTCCTTATCAAATATTATTATACTCAGTGAGATAAAATTATCTTTTCTAAGCACAGGCTAGAATAGCTGCATAAATGATAGACTTTGTGAATTCTGATGAGTTATGAGAAGAAATAACAACCCTTACTGCCTTCACTGGGGGGTTTCTAGTATCGTGCTAGCCACCTATAAGTGCCTACATATAAATCCACCTGAAGGAAAGCACTTAGAGATAGATAACAAAACTCACATGATACCTCAGTCATCCAACGATAAAGGGGCAAGAAACTTGCAAGTGATTTGTTACAATTGAAAATTCTCCCCAGGTGAATTAAAAACTCAGATTTGAAATCAATGTCTTCATAAACCCAAGGGTAATTACATTTTGAACATATATGTAAATGAAGACACAAATTTTGTTACTGAGATAGCTAAAATTTGCTCCCTGATAGCGAAAGACAAGCAATCCAGTAGCTAGCTAGAAACCCCTGATTAATTGGCCAAGCATATTATAAGGCAATGGAGCAATGGTATCCAGGGATCAATGTTATCACTCACAAGTTGCTCAATCCATCCCACTTGGGAGGATTAGACCTCACTCAACAACTTGGCACCATGTCAGAGTTTTATGCTGAAGCAAAAATAGCATTGTATAAATGGAATATAACAAATTTCTGGTCACTGAAACTTTAGCATTTTGGACAAGCGAAGTGAGTTAGATGGCATTGTATGTCTTTTCTTTCTCTCCCTCTCTCCCTTCTTTCTTCCTTCCTTTCTTCTTTCTTTCCTTATTTATTTTTACTAACTATTCTTGCAACTTGTATTTGAAGTTATTGCTTTTAGAACTATGCAAGTGACTAGTCTCACTCTCACTGTCTTGCTTTAGATTCTGAACAGGTTGAACTAGTACCAAAAATATGAAAGTCTTGAGCTGTATTACTAAGGTGACACATCTGTTTTAAAATAATCAAAGAGAACTATTTTATTTATTTATTTTTTTTTTTGAGATGGAGTCTCAGTCTGGTGCCCAGGATGGAGTGCAGTGGCACTATCTCTGCTCACTGCAACCTCTGCCTCCTGGGTTCAAGTAATTCTCCTGCCTCAGCCTCCTGAGTAGCTGGGATTACTGGCGCCTGCCACCATGTCCAGGTAATTTTTGTATTTTTAGTAGAGACAGGGTTTCACCATGTTGGTCAGGCTGGTCTCGAACTCCTGACCTCAGGTGGCCCACCCACCTCTGCCTCCCAAAGTGCTGGGATTACAGGCGTGAGCCACCGCGCCTGGCCTCAAAGAAATCTATTTAAGGCCAGAGAGCATTAATAGGTTTACAACTCTAATTGACTTAGCCTGCCATACATGACCATGAACTTCCTCTTCAGATACAATGACATAGTAAGAAATAATGAAGACATTACCTGAAAATGGAAATTAAAGGGCCTGCACTTCTGAGTGGTCTGAGCTTTGTGATTCTTTTCAGGTCAATTCATTTGGCAGCTATAGTTTAAATGAAATTTTTAATATCTGTTAGATGAGCCAAAATTACATCTAAATTTATCTCTGAAATTCTGTTTTAATAAAAGTGTTACTATTTCAGTTTCAAAGTGTTTCTATTGTTTCCTGGGCCTAAATTTATAGATCCTATAATTTTTTTCTTTTTCAATTTGTCAAATTATATTTCACCCATTTTCTGCTTTCAAATAATCAATTTGATTATTATTCTAGAAAATATTTTAGCTTTTAATTTTACATTTTTCATAACCAATACTTAAGATAATTTATTAAAATAATCATTTAAGGATGTAAAGAAGTTAGGAATAGTTTTGCATTTAGCATACAATAAAAAAGTTGACAGAAAAAGCAAAAATAACACAGAAGTAAACAAAACATGCTTGACAGATCACTGCTTAAAAAAACAACAACAATGGAAACTCTTGCTCATTAGTCCCTGAGTTCCTGGGTAGAATTTTTTTGTTGTTCTATGATGGAGAAAGAGAACCCTGAGATTTGTATTAATATAACACTTTTATTGAGATACAATTTACATAGCATACATCTCACCCATTTAAAGTATAAACTTCAATTTTTTTTTAGCATGTTTCACGTGGCTATGCAACCATAACCACAATCAATTTTAGAACATTTTCATTACTCCAAAAGGAAACTCTGTACTGCTTCACAGTCTCTCCCTATTTCCCTCCAAACCTCTAGTCCTAAGCCACAGGGAATCTACTTTCTGTCTCTACAGATCTGTGTATTCTGGACATGTCATATACTAAGCATGTGGAATTATACAATATGTGGTATTTTGTGATGAGCATCTTTCCTTTGGCAAAATGTTTTCAAAGTTAGTCTATATGTAGGATCTATAAGTCTTCATTATATTGCTTAATAATATTCCAGTGTATAGATACACCACATTTTATTTATTCATTCATCAGTTGATAGACATTTAGACTTTTCTACTTTTAGCTATTATTAATAATGCTTTTATAAGTATTTGCGTCAAGTTTTCTATGAACATATACTTTATTTATTTGGGGTATATGCCCTAAGAGAGGTATTGCTGGTTCATAAGGCAACTGTATGTATAATCTTTTGAGAAACCATCAAACTATTTTCTAAAATGGTGGCACTGCTTTACATTCCATACCAGTAGTGTTTGAGGGTTCCAATTTCTATAACTACAACCCTATCAATACTTACTATCTGTTATTTTCAAATTTTAGCCATCCTAGTACATGTGATGTGGTATTCCATTGTAGTTTTGAGGTTTCTCACTGTGGCTTTGATTTGCATTTTCCTAATGGTTAATGATGTTAAACATCTTTTCATGTGCTTATTAGCCATTTGTATATCTTCTTGGGAGAACTATTTTTGTACATTGTTTAAATTTAATGTAGTCTAATCCTGTAGTTATTTTGAAATATATTCAATAAATTATCGATAAAGATAGCCCCCTATTGTGCTACTGACTAGATCTTATTTCTACTAACTGTATTTTTGTACCCATTAACCAACCCCTCTTTATCACCCTCTCCCCATTATCCTTCCTAGCCTCTGGTAACCATCATTCTACTCTCTAATTCTATGAGATCAATGTTTTTAGCTCCCACATATGACAACATGCAATATTTGTCTTTCTGTGCCTGGCTTATGTATTTGATGTTATTGTAATTGCAATTGTTTTCTTAATTTCATTTTCAGATTATTTTCTGCTAGTGTTTAGAAATGTAATTTATTTTTATGTCTTGACCTTGAACCATTTAACATTGCTGAATGGCTGTTTTTTAAGCTCCAATAAACTTTGTGTTTATATGGATTCCTAAAGAATGTTCTACATACAAGATCCTGTCATCTGCAAATAGCAATTGTTTTACTTCCTTCTTCCCAGTCGAGATGACTTTGATTTTATTTTCTTGCCTAATTGCCCTGGCTAGAATCTCCGGTAAAATGTTTAATAGAGTAGTTAGAATGAACATCCTGTCTATTTACTGATCTTAAGAAGAAAGCATTTGGTCTTTCACAATTAAGTAGGATGTTATAATAGCTGTGGGTTTTTCATGGATGACCCTTATGAGTTTAAGGTAGTTCTCTTCTGTTACTAGTTTGATGACTGCTTTTATCATGAAGGGGTACTGAATTTTGTCAAATGCTGTTTCTGAGCTGATTGAAATAATCTTGTGATTTTTTTCTTTATTCTATTAATATGATGTAGTACTTTAATTCATTTTAAGATGTTAAACTAACCCCTGAGTTTTTTTTTTAATAGATGTAGCAGAACACAAGTAAATCTGGGATAATTAGTCCAGGGATTCAAACAGTGGTACGTGAAACAGATATTTACTAAAACCTGCCTCTTTGGAGAAAATCCTAAAATATTTTTAGAGTTAATCACAGAAACCCAATTTATAATTTATGTAATATAATGTTATAGAAGGTGTATAATTAATATTTAAGCTGTTTAGGTAGGAAACCAATTTTTAATATATTAAATTAGCAATTTCAAGCAACTAACAGATTTCTGTGTATCTATTGTAGTGAGTATTCCTAACCAATTAACTGAATGTTTTAAGTTTTGTCTGTATGAATAAATAACAATCAAGTTGACTGAGGAAAATAAAATACTTCAGTAACACCATGTTTCTGGATACTGAGAAAATACGAATTATTTCCAAAGTTAATTGTATATTGAAAGCAATCACATTCTAAACACAAACAGAATATTTAAGAAATATGCTAAGATAGTGCTAAATCTCACTTAAACCAAGTAAGGAGATTTTTTAAAGTTGAAAAATAGTAACAATTGGAAATTAACATTAGCATACATTAACCATCTTCCAGAGCTTTGGAAAGTCAAACAGTGTGGTTATTAGTGCTGGGAAAAAATTGTAACAGAATACATAAAAATACAAGAAAAGACAATAATTTAGTATAAACTTAAGGTTTATTTTAAGTGAACTAAAAATATGATGAATTGTATTGAAATATTTCATTAAGAATTGGAGGAAAAACTAGTACAATTCTTACCTCATACCCCACACCAAAATTATTCTAAGTTGATTAAGTTGGATAAAATTTTAAATAACATCTAAAAACAATAGACTTTGTTAAAAGAATCTCTACATTTCTTTTCATTGTGGAGGCAGATAATTGTCAAGTATGTGAAGTAAAATGGGATGTATGGTTTTTCTTCCTAATCACTGTCATATCTGTCATATTGATTTATAAATCTAATTTCCAAAAAAAACAACCAAAGTTTCGGATGCCCTTCCCAGCCATATATTCTCCGTCCTACCAAGGTGACACTATTCACTTTCTTCTCTCCATAAACCTAATTCCTTCTATTGAAAAAAAAAAAAAAAAAAACAGTTTCTCCAGTCAAAGCAAATGTTGCCTTTACTATTAAGGCCCTTGGTGGTGCATACCTTGCATTTTCTCTTAGTTAGTCCGCCTGTCACTTTCGTTCATGTAGCAAATTAATTTATTACTCTGTGCTCAAAGCCAATGCTTTACAAACTTTGCAATTTCGGATCTTGTTAAAATTCGAATCTTGATTCATACGTCTAGATAGGCCCCAAGATTCTGTCTTTCTTACAAATTTTTGGGTGATGCTAATGCAGCTGATCTATGGACCACACTTTCAGTAGCAAGGCTCTATTTTATTTACACATCCATTTTCTTTCCATTGCCTCCTTGACTGTAAAGCAGGATGCTAACATGCTACTTCCTTATTTAGAGATTTCACACTCATATTAACTGATTTTATTAGGAGATCAAAATATGACTATCCAAGAACATCATATTTCTTCGTAATCAAATGAGTTAATGAATGTGAAAATATTTTATAAACTAAAAGATATTATATGCAGCTTATTTTAAATGTTGACACATATTAAGTAACATAATTACTTATAAATATAAAAGTAAAGTAAGGTTGGCTGTGTCCAACTGATACAAGTTTCATTTACTCTAACGTATAAATTGATATTAAAACTTAGAGGCTAGATTCTACTCATCTCCTGTATTAGTCTGCTTGGGCTGCCATAACGGAATACCACAGACTGAGTAACTTATAAAACAGAAATTTATTTTCTCACATTCTGATGGCTGGAAGTCTAGTATCAAGATGCCTGCAGAGTTGATTTCCAGTGAGGCCTCTCTTCCTGATTTGCAGACAGCCACCTTCTCTCCCTGTCCTCACATGGCCTTTCTACTGTGCACGCACTCTTGATGTTTCTTTCTCTTCTCTTACGGACATCAGCCCTACTGGATTGAGGCCTCACCCCTTATGACCTAATTTTAACTTAATTATCCCCTTAAATCCCCTATCTCAAAATACTATCACACTGAGGGTTAGGTCTTCAGCATATGAATTTTAAGAAAACACAATTCAGTCCTTAACAGTTGCCCTGACTAAAGGTTAAATATATTATCTTGTCTATCTATTCAAATCATATTTATAACTGACTCATGCTTTTTTTTTTTTAATTTTGAGGCCAAATACAAATGGAATCGTACCCATAGCAGTATGATTCTGGTGTACAAATGAAGCATAAAGAAAAAATATGTTTCTTTTTTCCCTCAGCAGTTTTCCCTTTCTCCAACTGCATAAATTATCCTAACCTACCCTCCTTTAATTGGATAACCAGCTAATAGTTATTTACTAATTTATAGCATCTATATAAAACCAACCACTATAATTTTGAATCCCGTCCTTAGACATAGCTAGCCCTCTTTGAAAAGGAACATAACCCTTTCCAAAGAATGAATCATTTTAAAGAACGTTAAACAAAGTGTAGGAAGATTGTTAAGCAAATGATAGAATACTCTACAATTACAATTTTTCTTAATTATACGCTGCCCTGACACTCAATAGAAAATGCAGATGAACCATTTAATGCATTTATAAATAAGATCAAATTTGATCCCATTAAATATGCCAGTGGTACTTGCTATTAACTTTTGCTTAGGTCTTGTTTTTTTCCTCACCTTTGGCTGAATTTTATTGAAACAGACATACCAGTTTCAGGCTTTTAATCCTCTAAAGTAATCAAAATAAAAACAATTTAAAACATCTTTGAAATGATCATTTGTAAATTGCAAGCCTAACTTGATGTTATCAGAGTCAGGTTATTAGAGTTCTGCTTCAAGGTGATAACCCTTTTCTAACACAGAGTTCATATACAATCATTTGTGCATTTTTATTCGTTAACTAAAACCACAGGAGGCATTGGTCTGATTAAAAGACCAGTGCATTGTCATAAAAAGAGACAAATCCAAATTATAACTGATTTTTTTTCCTTCACTATCTCCCTTAAAGAGTCTGAAGATGGCCATGCAGGGATATTGTGCTGGTTCTCTGTTGTCTGAGGGTTGTGACAGTTTGAAAGGAAGGACAAGGCCAGGATGATCTCTACTAAAGTGTAAACACATATAAACATGCTGTGCACATGCACACACACACACATACACACACACATACACACACCCACCCCACATAGACACACACATTCCTTGGGGAAGAACTTTTACAATCCTTGATCTTTCATTTTAAATTAACTTTATATACATTGTTTAGCTCAATTCCAAAATGTTGTTTTCCTTAAAGTGATTTTGTTCTCTCAACTAGCATATTCCTATTTTTAAATAAATTCATTAAAGGTATAATTTCAGGAAATCTACATTTGAAAAGAAATATCACTTTTGTTTACAAAAACTCTTCATGAAAGCTAAGCAGAAAGGTGAACACATTGTTTGAAGAATTAATTACATTTATCTCTGTGTATTGTTGAAAACATGAATTAATGAAAAGAAAACACAAAGGTCTCATCTTTGGTCTTTTATGCAATGACATCTTAGTAAGTTAGGCTGAAAATTTTACCTCTTTTCTCTTTTTTTTGAGATGGAGTTTTGCTCTTATTGCCCAGGCTGTAGTGCAATGGTGCAATCTCGGCTCATCACAACCTCCACCTCCCAGGTTCAAGCAATTCCCCTGCCTCAGCCTCCTGAGTAGCTGGGATTACAGGCATGTGCCACCACGCCCAGCTAATTTTGTATTTTTAGTAGAGACGGGGTTTCTCCATGTTGGTCAGGCTGGTTTCAAACTCCGACCTCAGGTGATCCGCCCGCCTCGGACCCCCAAAGTGCTGGGATTACAGGCATGAGCCACCATGCCCGGCCACCTCTTTCCTCTTTTCTACTGCTTATTGTTAATATACGATTAAATTAAAAATTAGTCCTAACCAAAATTGAAAAGTTCTGCTCAGTAGAACATACCATCAAAAAATAAACAGGAAAACTGTAAACAGGAAGAAAATATGCATGGCATAAATATCTGACAAAACTTGGTTTTCAGAATATGCAAAAAGTATCTGTGACTCAATAGTAAAAATACAAACAATCCACAAAATAAAAGGACAAAACACTTGAATAGACTTCACAAAACAATATATAAAAAGGCCAATAAGTACACAATAAAGTGCTTAATATTCATCTCAGGGAAATGCAAATTAAAACCACAATTAGATATTGCCTATCAAAATGGTTAAAATGAAAAATAATTGCAACACCAAATGTTGGTGAGGATGTGGAGTAAACAGAACTATCATACATTGCTCATGCAAGAGGACATAGTGCAACCACTTTCAAAATGGTTAGGCCATTTCTTTAAAAGTTGAGTATGTAATTTCCCTGGGACCCAGCAATTATTCTCACAGATATTTATCCGAAAAAAAAATTAAAAATGGATTTTTTAAAAAGGCATTGCACAAAAATGTTTATATCAACATTGTTCACATTACCAGGTGTCCATAAAGAGAAGTCTTGACTGTGATAAAATCATACAATGAAATGCTACTTAGCAATAAAAAAATGAACTAGTGATATATGGATAAATTTTTAATATTTTGGTGAATGAAATAATTCAGATTCAAAAGAGTACAGAAGAAAATCGTGCATATGTGTGTGACACTTACAAAAGCCCGCATAATTTTGAGGAGAGATAATATAAAACCCCTTACCACTTGATGGAAGCATGGCAACATCAAATTGTAAGAGCATATTGGATAGGATTCACACACACGCACAGAGAGAGAGAGAGAGAGCGCAGTCTTTGAAAAAACAATCTGCTATGGGTATCACATAAGCCACAAATTCCTTAGGATCAATTTTATGAGTTTCATTTCCTCTGTCTCCACATAAGAACATGGGACACTCAAAAGGGAAATAAATGACCACAGGAAGTGCAGGACATCTAAAGGGTAGAATAGCACGAAAGATAAACTTCATCTGCTTTTTGCCAGTCTTCCCAGAGCCCTCAGACCATGGGTAAACTTCAAATCATCTTTTCGTCTCTATTCACCTCCCATTTAGAGTCTATAAAGAGAAGACATGGGACGAAGGGAGAGGATAAAAGCAAGATGGAAAACTTAAAAAGTTATTTAGGCTAAGTGTTATAATTAATGAGTTCAACATGGTTGTAGAAACATAAGATTAGTATATAAAAATAATTTACCACCCATAGAAACAAATAGACTTTTAAATTATAATAAATACCTAGATATAAGAGCAATAAAAATCAAATATCTAGAAAAACATGACAAAAGTATATAATATACCCTTTGGAGGAAAAATTGAAACATTATTGAAAAACATTAAAGGATTAAATAGAAAAATAGGCAGATGGATAGGAAGATTCAATATTATAATTCAATATTATAATTGCCATTCTCCTAATATTGGTCTGTGAATGTAATTCAATTCCCATCAAAATACCAATAGAGTTTGTAAAGAAACTGGATAAGTTGACTTTAATATTTGTATAGAAAAAAAAAACAGGAATAGCTAAGATACTCATTTTTTAAAAATCCAATAACTTGCTTCATGAAATATTGTTTTGGTTTTCTACTGCTGTATTGCAAACAATTTTAAAATTCAGTGCCTTAAAACAACTATCTTATTAATCTTATGATTTTTATGGGTCAAGAATTTGAGCAGGACCTGGCTAATATATCAGTAAATTTCAAATCAGAGAAGTGGACTCAGCAGGAAATTATTACAAAGATTTATTTATTACAAGCAATTTGGCTTATGCAATTTTGAGGGCTAAGCCCGAAGTCTATACCAACAGGAAACCAGGAAGGGAAGACCATATGCATAGGCTGAAGCTGCTATCCACAGGGTGAACAAATTGACATATCAGGAAGCCATCACAGCTGTGTTATTATTATTTTTTTTTCTGACTGAATGTAGTGTCAACTGGGATCACTCAGTGGTACCCAGCTAGATGTTAATTGTTCTGGAGGATCCAAGACAGCTTCAATCAAATATGTATTACCTTAGCAGGAACAGCCAGCAATGTGGATTTAGCTGGCTCCTTCTCCCTCTGCATGTAGTTGTTAAGGTCTCACCATCTGGCCACTCCAGCAGGGAACCTAGATGTCTTTATTGGTGCCACAGGGATCCCTCAGATCACACTGGAAACTGTCAGGTACCCTAAGGTCTAGTTCTGGAGTCATATTCCATTGGTCAAAATAGTTACAGAGCAGCACAATTTTTAATGGTAGGAAACATATTCTTCCATCTGATGGAAATATGTAAAAAAATTGCTGTCCCTTTTAATCTGTCACAGATAGCCAGACTTGTTATAAAAGTATAGAACTAAAAAGAATGAAGTATTTGCATAGGGATAGAAAGCGAATACAAGAAAAGAAAGTCCAGAAACACACACACACACACACACACATACACACAACTTGATGTGTAACAGAGAGAGATAGCACTGCAGATCATTAGGCAAGAGATGCACTAAACAATCAACAGTACTGGATAATGATGCAAAAACTGAAATTGGATCTCTACTTCAAACCACACAAAAAAATCAATTCCAGATGGATTAAAGACTTAAATGTAAAATACGAAACTTTTAGAAAGCTTTTAGAAATTGTACGGGAGCAAGATATCTTTATAAACTATGAATAGAAAAGATTTTTTTAACTGAAAACAAAAAGCTCTAATCATTAAAGAAAAAAAGCAAAGATCAATTAGACTGCATTACATTGAGAACTCTGTTCATCAAAAGATTCCATTTAAAAAAAAAACTGAAAAGACTAACCAAAAACTAAGAAAAGATATTTACAACATATACAACAAATGTATTATTAAAATCCAGAAAAAACGTTCTACAAAACAATAATGAAAAGGCAAATGACCCAGTAGAAAAATGAACAATGAGACACGCATTGGCATTGCACTGATGAGGAATCATGAAAGGAAAATAAACATAAGGAAAGATGTTCTATCTCATTAGTAAATTTAAAATCATGAAAATTCTATTTAATACCAAAATCTAATTTCCTTTTATAACCACTCAATTGCCTAAAATTAATAAATCTGGCAATAAGTGTTGACAAAGATATAGAAAAAAATGAGAAGTCTTATACTCTCTTGTTAGAGTAGCTAAGTAAATAATTTGGCAGTTATAAAGAGGAAAAGCGGCATATCCCATGATGGGACAATCCATTCTCAAGTACATATCAGAAGTCTTCAAACTAGGACGTATGTAACCGTGGGGTACACAAGGAGTTTCTTACAGACACAGTTTTAAGGAAATAAATTGTCAGATCCCCAACTTCCATACGTGATATATGTAGTCTAAGGCCATCTGTCTGAGAATGTCTTTAGTAGAAGCTAGACATGTATTGACAATTATTTTTCATCCCTCTATTCAAAAATCACAATTTCTTCTACTTTATTAAAAAAACTTTCTCACACATCTTTATTTCATAAGAATAATTGACCATAAATGGTACAAGCTTCAAGAAAGCTACATAATGGAAGCAATTTACAATACCGGGGGCAGAAAATTCAACTTTTTTTTTTTCACATAAAGCTATTGGGGCCAATTAAATGTTTATTGTTAAATATCCATAAATCATTTCAAATACATATGTATTTTTATAATTGTGACTCATAGATAATAATACAGTTGGGCTACAAAAGCTATTTGGAGGAAGACAACAATTCTTTTTTTTTTATTGGTATTATACTTTAAGTTTTAGAATACATGTGCACAACGTGCAGGTTTGTTACATATGTATACATGTGCCATGTTGGTGTGCTGCACTCATTAACTCGTCATTTAGCATTAGGTATATCTCCTAATGCTATCCCTCTCCCCTCCCCCCACCCCACAACCGTCCCCGGTGTGTGATGTTCCCCTTCCTGTGTCCATACGTTCTCATTGTTCAATTCCCACCTGTGAGTGAGAACATGCGGTGTTTGGTTTTTTGTCCTTGCGATAGTTTGCTGAGAATGATAGTTTCCAGCTTCATCCATGTCCCTACAAAGGACATGAACTCATCATTTTTTATGGCTGCATAGTATTCCATGGTGTGTATGTGCCACATTTTCTTAATCCAGTCTATCCTTGTTGGACATTTGGGTTGGTTCCAAGTCTCTGCTATTGTGAATAGTGCCACAATAAACATATGTGTGCATGTGTCTTTATAGCAGCATGATTTATAGTCCTTTAGGTATACACCCAGTAATGGGATGGCTGGGTCAAATGGTATTTCTAGTTCTAGATCCCTGAGGAATCGCCACACTGACTTCCACAATGGTTGAACTAGTTTAAGGTCCCACCAACAGTGTAAAAGTGTTCCTATTTCTCCACATCCTCTCCAGCACCTGTTGTTTCCTGACTTTTTAATGATTGCCATTCTAACTGGTGTGAGATGGTATCTCATTGTGGTTTTGATTTGCATTTCTCTGAGGACCAGTGATGGTGAGCATTTTTTCATGCGTTTTTGGCTTCATAAATGTCTTCTTTTGAGAAGTGTCTGTTCATATCCTTTGCCCACTTGTTGATGGGGTTGTTTTTTTCTTGTAAATCTGTTTGAGTTCATTATAGATTCTGGATATTAGCCCTTTGTCAGATGAGTAGGTTGCAAAAATTTTCTCCCATTCTGTAGGTTGCCTGTTCACTCTGATGGTGGTTTCTTTTGCTGTGCAGAAGCTCTTTAGTTTAATTAGATCCCATTTGTCAATTTTGGCTTTTGTTTCCATTGCTTTTGGTGTTTTAGACATGAAGTCCTTGCCCATGCCTATGTCCTGAATGGTATTGCCTAGGTTTTCTTCTAGGGTTTTTATGGTTTTGAGTCTAACATGTAATTCTTTAATCCATCTTGAATTAATTTTTGTATAAGGTGTAAGGAAGGCATCCAGTTTCAGCTTTCTACATATGGCTAGCCAGTTTTCCCAGCACCATTTATTAAATAGGGAATCCTTTCCCCATTGCTTGTTTTTCTCAGGTTTGTCAAAGATCAGATAGTTGTAGATATGCGGCATTATTTCTGAGGGCTCTGTTCTGTTCCATTGGTCTATATCTCTGTTTTGGTACGAGTACCATGCTGTTTTGGTTACTATAGCCTTGTAGTATAGTTTGAAGTCAAGTAGCATGATGCCTCCAGCTTTGTTCTTTTGGCTTAGGATTGAGTTGGCAATGCGGGCTCTTTTTTGGTTCCATATGAAGTTTAAAGTAGTTTTTTCCAATTCTGTGAAGAAAGTCATTGGTAGCTTGATGGGGATGGCATTGAATCTATAAATTACCTTGGGCAGTATGAAAATTCAACTTTAATGATTGTAACATCAACAAGCTTTATGGCTTTGTGCCTTTTTCAATCATATATAGATGTGCTTCTATTAAAGACAAAGTGGGCATTAGAAATATCCCCCCTGCCACACAAACACACACACACACACACACACACACACACACCCTATTAGACTACAGTGAATTCATATTTATTGTAGAGTGGGATAATGACAGTGATGACAATTTCACTTAATGGCTTCACTTTTTCATCCAGTAATTATGGGAGAAGGCATTGTACTCGAGGGAGAGACTCTTGATAATGATAGCAAAGCAAAAAAAAAAGTGTGAGGGTAAGAAACACCAAAGACAGCAACATAGGCAACCTGTGGCTCCATGCCTTATTGCACAATCTAGCTTAGAATTAAAATATTCAGAATGTATTTAAAAACTGCCCTAGAAATAAAACAACCTTCTCCAAATCTCATGCCCTGAAATTGTCTAAGACTGTGTCTGAACTGAATATTTTGCATAATTTCAAAGAATTAAAGTTAAAATTGTTTATGTTTAATTCTGATATGTCAGCATTAAATCTTTGAGGAAATGGTACATATATTGGAAGTAAAAACAATGCTTTATAGTTTTGAACTGTTTATTACTCATAGGAGAAACATTCTCCTGCATTTTACCTCACAAACACCATTGGACACCTAAAAGCCTTATTTTTTTACTTCGTAATAAATATATTGTTTGTAACTTGTCAACCACTTTTCTTATTTGTTGATTTTATTCCTATGGGAAGAGAAAGTGGATTCTACTATATACGATATGCACTTAGTAGTGACCATTTTAACACTTTATGTAAACACTGCACTTTACTGGTAGCCTAATAATTTATCTTACTCTGAATTTCCACTGAACCCTGTTTCATTTCAGTAGTAGGTGATAGTCATCCAAGAACCAGGAGCAAACAGAAAAATAACAGCCCCAACCATCTCAAGAGATGCATTTCCAAATAAAGTTTTACTTTATGTTTGGTAATTATCTTTGAAATGGATTTAACCAATTGTATGCTAATAGTTGTTATGATAACTAAATCCAAAAAAAATTTAACACGTGACAGTCTTAAAGGCATAGCAAATTTTTAAATCAAATTTATATACATATTTAAACATTATTTCTTTATATATTTATATATTATTTTTTTGTTGCAACATATAAGAGGGTGTCAAATATAGGGAATATAAGTACAACTATATTTTGCATTAGGATAAAATTCTGTGGAAGAAGTGAAATGGAAACATGAGTTTAGGAGAAAATATACAAAATTTCTGGTTCAGAAAATACCTTTTTTCTGCATTTTATAAGTAAATGATCATGAGTAAAAGATTATGATGTTATTTGAATTCCATTGTATCCATATAAATGAGTTATATTACAGTATCAATTTAAAATGTCAATATATAAACATACCATAAATTATATCATTTGCAATCACTTAACAGTTGATTACAAATTAAATATCAACTTTAAAATGTGTAAAGAATCTCACAGATTTTCAAAATTCCGGAACATGTGAGCAAAATGTTGAAGATTACATATATTATAGGAAGCACATGTACATTTAGGAATCACATACAATATTTTTGATTTTTCTTTTCTTTCAACAACCATGACAAGCATTTATTGAGTACACATTACTAATTATACACCTTTCTAGGTTAAAAAAAAAAAAGAATACAAACACTCCTGCCTGAGTGGAGTTTATACTTTAGGAGCATATTTATAAATAAATAAATGTTGTTATAACAACATGGTAATGGCCAACATGAATGTATACATACATTTGTACATACAATGGTAGCCAACTCAACTATTCACCCACAGGACAGTGAACAATCACTTTATGCATATTTTGCAATGGTAAAAGTGAATATACTTTTTACCTTTGTAAACCAAAGGTAATAATTTAGGTAAATAATCACTTCCAGTATGATAGAAGTTTTATAAAGCTAACAAAAAGCAAAATAAAACAAATATTACTTACAAAAACATAAATATGTAGTAAAACTATTTTTTAAATGTATAATGGCTACCCCTGCCCAAAGACAGGATAAAGGAATAACAAACATAAGTAGCTTTTGCAATAGAGGTCCAGTTCTTGTCCTTAGGTTCTTCAGATTGGATGGTGAGTTCATGGGTGTGTATTATACTTTCATGCCCCCTCCTCTAACTATATCATATATTACATAAAATATAAATAAAGACAGAAATAAATATGATTAAGCTTCCTCATGCTTATTTGCAACTACATTATTCGGAAACTGAGAGGCAAAGTAGATTGATGATCTTCAAAGAAGAATCATAGCACTGCTGCCTAAACTCAAGCTCTGCTGTCCGATGTGTTTGCTCATTCTGACAGTTGTTCACTCATCCACTCTTTTATTTGACATGAACTGACTGGCACTATATGATGGACACTAGACTTAGTGTTGAAATAATCATTCCTCACCTCTATTCAAGTCCATGAAAATTTTCCAAAGCCCTAATGGTTTTTTCAGACTGTCCCTGAGGACTACTTGCCCATGCCAGGTTTTCCTCTATTTTGACTCTATTTTAGTAAAACAAACTGATAAATAAGTGGAGGGTCATTTTTAATTTAAATACTACTTATTGCTACAAAATTAAGTCATTCATTAAATTGTTACTCCTTCTAAGAAGAATCCTTTCTATTAATCTGTGTTATTGCCCCCAACAGCCCAATATGTAGCCTGAACTATATTTTATTTGTATCTCCCAGCTCATTTGAAAATATGTTTGAAACAGATAAAGTTTTGGAGTTTAGTCACTGTTGAATAAACTACAAGATAAAATTGAGTAATATTCCTCTCTGTCAGATAGTATATAAATACCTTTTCTTCCTTAGCACATGTAACACTTTTATTAGTAAATTGATGCTTATTAAGCAGATGTGTTTGATCATTAAAACATTTGTGTAAGCAAAAAGAAATCTAATTGTGATACTTTTTAACTTTTCATCATTTCAGATTTTTTACAGAAGACCATAAAAGCAAAAAAATATATATATGACTTATCTTTCATATTTTCAATGACAGCCATAATTTCAAATATTCTTTTCCCTATAAGTTCATGTTTATTTGTCTAAAAATATGTGCTAATTTTTGAATGTTAAAACATGTGCTCTGTAGCTTCCTTACCACTGCCTTCTTACCCCTTTCCTTTCCCATTTTGATCTAACACTGTGAAAAGGCTACAAACAAAGGGAAACTTCAGCATGTTCCAAAACATTTTTTACCAAATTAAGACTCATTCCAAAGGAGTCATATTTTTATATTTGGAACTTTTATAATGTACACATTAATTTTTATACAATAGAAGTAGTATTCTTTTAGCATAGAAATGTTAAAATACAAGAGAAGAGTTTTAGGTTTGGAAAAAAAGACAGATATTAGTGAACTCATCCACTGAGATCATCCTTCCATTATCAACAATATTATTTAGTTTCTTGTAATAAAGAGTTTCTTGATTCCAGTAATTACTGCTTATCTGAGACAATATTCTTGAATGAGAAAAAGAACAGTCATGTAAATAAAAATCAATTGCAAATTTCCTGGTATCCCTGTGTAGCAATCACTCCAATAACAATCTTATTAAGACACAGAATAAGAACAGAAGCTAAATTGCTATCCTTCATTATCCTTCACAATAGAAATATTAGGATGATTTTAATTAATGGATTTGCGGAGAGTTACTTATTTATGAATATTATCACAAGTCTAGTCTTTACATATATAATATACATTCCATGCTTTCTTGTGACATATCCCTATAAATGATAATTACATTTCTCAACAGAAAATGGGGAAAGAATTTAATATGATAGTTGTAGTAAGAATATTCTGCCCATGACAGGATTTAGGAATAAGCAAATGGCACAATAAGAATTACCTTCAAATGAGAAAGAGAAGAGAGAGAGAGAGATTTGTTTAAAGCAGTTTCATAACTTAAGTACAATATTTATTTTTGTTCCCAATTTTCTTTCTTTGCTGAGAAAAGTAAGCAAACAAACCTTAAATGACCAGTGGAGAAGAAACAATCTTCAGTTTCCTCTCTTTTGCTTTCAGAAGGGTAGGGGAGTGCAAAGAAAGGCAAAAAATTATTAATGTTGAAAACTTGTTCTTTCTTCTTTTTGATAATAGCCAATCTAATAAGTGTGAGGTAATATGTTATTGTGGTTGTGATTTGCATGATCTGACAGTTAGAAATGTTGAACATCTTTTCATATATTTATTGGCCATTTGTATGTCTTCTTTTGAGAATGTCTGTTCAAGCCCTTTGTGTACATTTAACAGGGTCAGTTTCTTGTTATTAAGTAGTTTGAGTTCCTTGTATATTTTCAGTATTAGCCCCTGATCCAGTGAATTATTTGCAAATATTTTTTCCCAATTTGTAGACTGTCTTTTCACTCTATTAATTGTTTCCTTTGCTGTACAGAAGCATTTTAGTTTGATGTAATCCCATTTGGTATTGTAAACTAGTAGCCATATTGAAAAACAGTACGGAAGTTCTTCAAAAAGCTAAAAGTAGGATTAACATATGATCCAGCAATCCCACTATTGGGCATATACCCAAAAAGATTGAAATAAGTATGCCAAAGAGATGTCTACACTCCCATGTTCATTGCAGCATTATTCACTATAACCAAGATAAAGAAAAATCTGAAATGTCTATCAATGGATGAATTGATTTTTAAAATGTTGTATAGACACAGTAGAATACTATTCCGCTTTTAAATACAGCAGACTCTAACATTTGCAACAACACTGATGAACCTAGAGGACATAACTTTAAGTGAAATAAGCCACACATGGAAAGACAAATACTGTATAATGCCACTTATATGTGGAAATTTAAAAAGCCAAACTCTTAGAAGTAGAGAGTAAAATGGTGGTTACAAGAGGCTGGGGTAGGTCCCGAAGGGAAAGTGGATGGGGAAAAGGGAGACTTTGGTCAACGGGTACAAAATTACAGTTTGATAAGAAGAATAAGTTCTGGTGTTCTGTTGCACAGCAAGGTGACTATGGTTAATAATAATGTATTGTATATTTCAAAACAGCTAAACGAGAGGATTTTAAATGTTCTTACCACAAAGAAATAGTAAATTTTTGAAGTAATAGATATGCTAATTTCCCTTATTTGATCATTCTGCAATGCATACATATATCAAAATTAGCATTGTACTCCATAGTACATACAATTATAATTTGTCAAAAAAAGTAAAACTTTAAAAAAAATTAAATACATCAATATTAACAGAAAAGGAGATTTCCACACCTGAAAATAGCTAATATAATATCATATAGTACAAATATAATGTTCAAATCAAGAAATAAAACTGGTGCATTCTGTGAGGTCAGTATGCAGAGCCTCTGGAGTTTTGCTTTGCTGATTTTTTTGTTTTGTTTGTGTGCAACGCTCTTTATCTTTGTTTCTTTGTATAATGAGTCCGAGTGACAACCATGTAGAGGAGAAGACTAAGAATATGAGAGATGATCATTTCCTAAGAATAGTGAAAGGACCGTGGATTTTTTTGTAAGAAGAATTAGGACATGTGCCAGCCATAGTCAAGTTGCTGTAGTGAGAGTTTCCAATTGCTTTGTGTGCCAGCAATTCATTTCCTCAATAATTACTTAATGAGTACCTATGTATACGAAGCACTCTGCTAATCACCAGACATGAGTTGGAGCTTTTTTCTCTTGGGTCTTGCATGGATAAGGTGTGATCATTTTATAATCACTTCTCTTCTTGGGGAAACAATAGCAAGTCTTCATAAATAATACCCAGTGATGAGTGGAGTTGATATATCTTATTACAGAAAGATGTGGAAAGTCAATTAGCAAGTTTCTCTAATACAAGCAGAGAAAGAAAGCTAAGAGGTTAGAGATTTTGAATCAAAGTGTTTTTTTCTATTTGTTTTAGGAGAGGATGCTGTGAACAATTATATTGCGGGAGGAAAGAAATCTAGATAAGAACAAGAAAGCAGTTCCTTACATCTATGGGGATTAAAAGCCAACTAATGCTATTTGCTCATTGTTCTGACATTTAGAACCGGAATCTCTTACCAAGGATACTTTTCTTTGTTCATGCTTTTAGAATGATCTCTAATCATTTCTGGGTTTTGCTGTCTCTTAACAATGAAATTAATTAAAACAGCAATAATATATGTAATCATAACAAATGCGTTAACTATAATTTATTAAACAACCTCTATGTTACAGGAATTGGTTTATTTGTACTTTTTTGAGGTAAGCAACCCTCTGAGGTAACAATTTCCTTCATTTTTACAAATAAAAAAATTAAACTTCAGCGATGTGAGCTGCTTTTACTGAAAGTCACATAGATACTTTTGAGTCTGGCTGGGCCATTTACTAAGTCTCTGCTGAGGCCAAAACTTTTGATCTTTTCCAAGCAGTCAGACAAAAAATACAATCATTTATATCGAGCCGGGGAGGAGGGAGCAGAATTTGCTTGTAAGTGCATTAAAAGGTAACACTGCCTATCTTTGAGAAGGAAAAGTGGGATGAAAACATGTTTTCCAATTTATAGTGTGTACTTTTTTGTACATTTGAATTTTATGACATGTTCATGTAAAAAAAAAAATAGCATAAATGCTAAGCTGCCTCCCGAATTATTTTCTTTCTGTCCTTAGTGGTGCTAAGACAATCTAAGGGAAAGGACTTTCAGTCCATGCTCACCAAGTTTTAGAGGCATATTGGAAGGTTGGTGGATTGACAAGGTAATGGTAGTTCTCATGACAGAATGAAAACACTGTGACAGAAATGATGAAGAGAAAGAATGTCAGCACCTAGCCTCCACCTCCAACCTGTGCAATTTCTTTCTAGAAAATTACTTTCTGCTAAAACCTTGAATTTGTTTTTTATTTTAATACTGGAGATGATACATTTATAGATGTTTATTCAAAAGAGAAAATAGTGTTCTATAACAATCCTGATCTAGGATAAAAGGGAGTGTGTTAACACAAACATATCTCAGCAAGTTATAAATACGATTTTCTAACAATTAAAACTGTTTATAGGTGGGGTACCTTCAAATACTCAACTCCTTATTAATGTACTCAAATTAAAATAAGAAGAAATCTGATAGCTAAGCAAAAACTAAAACTGATGCCACTACCAAATGTTGACAAAGTTTAAGTGGAACTTACCTACTCACAGATGATTGCATGCTCACAAGGGTAAATTGGTTTAACCACTTTAAAAAGTAAAGTTGGCAAATGCATCAAGAGCCATACAAATTGTTCCTAGACTTTTACTTAGTAATCCTACTTCTAAAATTTTTTCCTTGGAAATTACAATATTTCCATGTCAACTGTGAAAAATATATTTTTAAGGATATGTAGTTGAACTTATAGAATCTTATCACAAATTTTATTTTCATACTAAAATAAAAATATAATTAAATCCCAATGAATGAAAAGAATATCAGCAGTATTTCATGACATAGTATGAAAGACCAGTTTTTACTATTTTAAAAAGCAAGTTTATTCACAATTTAATAGGTACTGTGTTTAGCACTGACCTGATAATATTCTCATGTTTTCTAATTATATTAATTGTAGCTCACTTAACAACAAATTAACTTCCAAAACCATAATATTTTCACTAGGATCCCAAATGTCAATAACTTTTATATTATTTCTAACTATATTACCCTCTTTGTACTATTGCCAGGCATTAACACATTTTCACACATCTACCTTTTGAAAATATGCTTACAAATTATCTTTTAATTTTATACTCATTCATGCAAATGCAGCTACTTATTTAAAATTTCACAACTTTGAATAGTATGTAATAATATACTCTATGTGACATTAAAGCACCAAATATGAACATAAATTTCAAAGATTAAAAAATGCATATACACACACATGGGCGCACACACACACACACACACACACACACACACACACACACAGTTGGCCCTTCATATCCATGGGTTTCACATACACAGATTCAAACAACCATAGAATCTATGACTCCACTGGACCATTGAGTCATCAGCCTTTGTTGGGATAAGACTTTCACTCAAGGATAAGCATTGTAAGAAATGGTGTTTTTAATTTTTTAAGAACAGGATCCTCTCTTATTTTGTATACTATTGCTGATTATGTCGGCCAGCTTTGAAAAAATTTTGTCTAATATTGGAAGTTTACTTCTAAATTCTGAAGTGCTACAGAAAGAATGGACTATTGTGAAACATGAGCTTTAGCTAATTACCATATAGCAACGTACTGTTAAGTGAGAAAGCAGAAAAGAAAGCTGTATACATACCACAATAGCAACAAAGTAAACCATACCTATGAAACAAAGTCTAGAAGGAAATAAATACAAACTATAAAAGCAATGATGGGGCACTGGCATCATAAGTCAGTGGTTTTTCTTCTGTTTTCCAAAGCTTTCTTCTAAGAAGAATGTAGCTGGACCTTCTCTTTATATCCAGTGTGAGTCTCCCTTTTAAATAAGTGTGTTTAGATCATTTGCATTTAATGTGATTATTGATTTCCTTATGTTTAAATCTATCAGCCTGTAATTTGTTTTTATATCTCTCATCTGCTCTTTGTTCTCTTTTCTCTTTTTCTGCCCTTTGAATTAACTGATCATATTCAATAATTCTATTCTCTCTCCTTTATTGGGTTATTAGTTATAACTTTTGTGTTATTTTAGTGCTTGCTTTCAGATATATAATTTACATCTTTTACTTGTATGTAACAGCCTATCTCCAAGGGATATAATACCATTTCAGATCCAATATAACAAACTAATGAGAGTATTCTTCCATCTCCTTGCTTTAGGACTAATGTCATACATTTTACTTCTTCATATGGCTTAAACCTCACAAAACACTGTTATTAATTTTGTTGTAAGAAAAACTTATCTTTTAAAAAGCTTTAAATAATAGACAAAAATAATATTACCCATATAATCATCATATAGGTAATGTGGGACAGCTAGCTGGACAAACATTGCTGAAGTATGATTGCATCTATATAGAATCTAAGACCTAGAAAACCTTGTTGTCCACGCACTTGCATCTAGAATTCCCACTTCAGAAAGCAAATGCCAAAATACAAAGCAATATGTTTTTATATATATTTATATATATAAATATATAATGTGTATATAATATATATTATAATGTATAATATAATGTAATGTGTATATAATATAAATGTGTATATAATATTTATATACATGTGTTTATATGTGTGTATATATAATATATAATAAAATATATAATAAATATATGTGCATATATAATATATACATATGTGTATATATATAAACATATTGCTTTGTATTTTATATTTATATGTATATGTATATATATAAACACACACATATATATTGTTCATATATCATAAAGAAGATGAGTTGTGAAACTTTGTTTTTTACTTCTATTTGAAATTAGCCTTACTAGACTTATATTAATTTTATGACATAATAAAAATGAATATAATATACCTTTGGTTCAAAAACAATTAAAAATAATGATTTTAAGTTTATGGAAAGTATAAAAGTGTTTAGGGTACAAAAAATAAGTGGAAAGAGGAAGAATAAAAATATGTTATATGGCCATAATTACTATTATGTTAAAAATTAAAAGCAATCTTTAAGAAATTATGTTATATTCAAAATCAGGCAATATCACTTTACAGAGCTGCTGCAGACAGAGAGGGAGTGGAGTGGGGTGGGACACTAGATTAAACAAAAAACATGACCCATTTTTCAAATACCTCAAATCCTAAAGAGGAAATTATTTCTCCTGACATAAAATATCTAAAATGTTCCCTTTTGCCCCTGCTGCACGCACACACAAAATACTAATTGAGAAGAAAATAAAATGGCGAAAGGCAGGGAGCCCTGAGGTTAGAAGACGGCTATAGAATTAAGTGGATAAGCAGGCATTCTTAGGCAGTACAGCATCCTAGAAAATGTAGTCAAGGGAGTGCACTTTAATTAATTGAATAGAGACTTATTTGAGTAAACTTCAATTATACAGTGTTCAATGACTAAGAATAAAACCTTAAAATATTATTTCTAATAAACATTGGCTGGGCATGGTGGCTCACATCTGTAATCCCAGCACTTTGGAAGGCAGAGGTGGGCAGATAACTTAAGGTCAGGAGTTTGAGATCAGCCTGGTCAACAGGGTGAAACCCTGTCTCTGCTGAAAATACAAAAATTAGCCAGGTGTGGTGGTACGTGCCTGTAATCTTAGCTACTTGGGAGACTAAGGCAAGAGAATCACTTGAACCCGTGAGGCAGAGGTTGCAGTGAGCCGAGATCGCACCACTGCACTCCAGCCAGAGCGACAGAGTGAGACTCCATTAAGGAAGGAAGGGAGGATGGAAGGAAGGGAGGAAGGAAGGAAGGAAGGAAGGAAGGAAGGAGGGAAGGAGGGAAGGAGGGAAGGGGAAAAGAAAAACAAGAAAGAAAGAAAGAAAAAGAAAGAGAAAGAAAGAAGGAAGGAAGGAAGGAAGGAAGGAAGGAAGGAAGGAAGGAAAGAAAGAAAGAAAGAGGAAAAAAGTTAACATCACAGCATAAACCAGCATGATAAACAAATGATGGGAAGCATATCAAGGAGGTTCAGTAAAATTTGAAGGAATTCAGGATGAGTTGTAACAGTGATTACTTTCTTAGAGACAGGTCATGAGTTATTTCTATCTGTTTTTAGGTAGTGAGAACTAAAAGTTTATAGCAGACTCTTTTATGTATTCTTCAAAGTATATAAGGTGTGTTGTACCAATGTAATCTTCATAATAATATGGGATCTGTTCATACATGGAATCATCCCCGGGTCTGTGTTCAGTTATTTGCAATAAATTCATTTGCTGTTTTTAAAGTCCACGTTAAAGTAGCCTTTCATGTTAGTTTAGAAAGTTACTTTCTTGCTGGACCAAAATGGGATCCGTGAAAACAAGAACAAGAACATGTTGCATCCGTGAAAACAAGAACAGTGGGACAAAACAGGTAAGTTTTTTTTATGGAATGTTGCTTTAACAAGATTAATTTCTGTTAAATATAACAAAAAATAGGATACAGTCCAAAATGTGAATAGGATTTGTCTTTGAAAGAAGAGCTTTTGAATGTTTTTAATCCTAATATTTATGGTTCCCCAAATATTTGTAACAGTTAAGTTTGATATGAAAAATAACATCTTTGAAAGTTGCACACTTCCCAAACCTAATAAGGAGATTATATGGGATATCTTTAAACTTTCTCTTGGTGTCTAGGAGCCATCCTTGTGAATTTCAGTCCACCTTCTCTGGAAGAGTGGCCCTTCTGTTAGGATAACTGAAATGTGTAAGACACCATTTATACGTTTACAGACATCCCCTAGGATGCTGTGAGTTTTCTATCTTCTTCCTCAGTTATAGCTGAGACGACCCATGTGGCAACTTCTGGTGTTATCTTCTAATTTGGTATTTGGTATATGAGGTACCATCAATTGAAAGTCAATTGACAATGAGTACTAGAGCTAGTCAATCTTCTTAAAGCACCTTATTTTTCACATAACTCTAATTCATTAATATTTTCACTGAGGTATGTGAATATATACATATGTATTCCCAGAAAACTATTTTTCCAGAGCTAAGGTCTCTCTCTCCCTCTCTCTATCTCTCTCTTCCCCTCCCTCCTTCTCTCTCTCTTCCTCTTGCCCTCTCTCCCTCCTTTCTCCTTTTTTTTTTTTTTTTTTTTTTTGAGACAGAGTTTTGCTCTGTCGCCCAGGCTGGAGTGCAGTGGTGTGATCTCGGCTCACTGCAGCCTCTGCCTCCCGGTTTCCAGCAATTCTCCTGCCTCAGTCTCCTGGGTAGCTTGGATTACAGGCATACACCACCATGCCCGGCTAATTTTTGTATTTTTAGTAGAGACGGAGTTTCACCATGTTGGCCAGGCTGGTCTCAAACTCCTGACCTCAGGTGATCCACCTGCCTCTGCCTCTCAAAAGTTCTGGGATCACAGGCATGAGCCACTGCGCCCGGCCTTCTCTCTCTTTTCTACCTCCTTCCTTACTCTACCTCTCTTCATATTTTCTTTCCTTCTTATTTGAGAGGACAGTTCTGACTACAGAAAGAAAAAGCTTATGTTTGTCCGAAACAAAAGAGAAACGTTATTCTAATTACCTTAAAGTATCAATATTCCTTTACCCTAATCCTGACTGATGAACCGTTAACTATGGGACACAGCATTTCAGACACTCACATCCAAGAGCCTATCTATGAATTTGGGGTAGCGAACAATACAAGGTTTGTAGCATTTTTTTCCTAAATGTATTGGCCAGTTGTTCTCACTGTGCTGGGAATCCTGAGAAGCAGTATTTTGTTTGTTTTGTTGTTGTTGTTGTTGTTTTGTTGTTTTGTTTTTTATTTTTTCTCTGCCAGTGTGCTGACCTGCTGGTAGGTACTGAAGACCAACATTAATTCATAGGAACTGACATTTAGTTCAAGGGCCTTTCA
Source organism: Homo sapiens (assembly GCF_000001405.40). NCBI lineage: Eukaryota > Metazoa > Chordata > Mammalia > Primates > Hominidae > Homo > Homo sapiens. Next base: position 109,928,039 of record NC_000003.12, on the reverse strand, counting down.
GAGTTCAGAAGCATTTAGAAAAGCATCAGTGAAAGCAACTTACATACCTACCCTTACTGGAGATACAGTCCCCACTAGCTCAGAGGTGCTGAATACCTCCTAGTGAATTGTCTTCCCATGTCATTGATGACTGGTTAACTCAGATTCTCCCTTTGCTTTCCATCTTCCATTCATTTAATCATTAAGGCAGAGTACTGGGCTTTGGGGGTATTTTCTTTTTAATTATAAAACTACTGTCTCCAAAAAAATGATCAAAATACTGAAAATTGAAAATCAATATGATAAACACTCACTAAGCACATACAAAAAAATTATTGTTAATTGCATTTTAGTGCATTTTTCTGGCATTGTTTTGTCTCTTATTTTTCCTTCTTTTAACTTTAATGTTCTCAGAATTTGTAAGCATACATGATTGCATTTTCTCATAGCACTTCTTTTACATAGAATAACATGTGATTAAGAGAAAGAATGGTAGTATTGTGTTTTAGTTCTCAACAGGAGGTATATCAGAATGACTAGGAAGATTTTTCAAAAACATTATTTCTCACACAAAGATATGCTTTGATGGAAAGGGAACAGGGGAAGGGGAGGGCATGATTGGTGCCTGTGCCTTCTAACTGAAATTCCCAAGTGACTCATACCCTGTCTCATAACTCAGGAGTGTGACTAAAAGAAACTCAACCTCTGAATGAGGAAACCTAGGTTTTAGTCAGAGCCCCAGCATTCTTTATGTATTTATTCATTCAACTAATACCAAGTGAGTGTTTTCTCGGGCTGCACTGGGCTAGGCTCTACGCTTCAAGTGTTAAAGAAGACAGACAAGTTCTCTGACCTCCTGGAGCTTAAAGTTTAGTTGATGTGACAAGCATTAAACAGATAACCATCTTAACATTAATTTAATTTCTGAATAACATTTTTTTTACCCAGTGTGCTGTGAAAACCTTAGCTATGTGATCCTAGGGAGTTAACCTAACCTCTATGCCTCAGTTTCAGCATCTGCAAGATGGCATAATTCAGACTTGACAAATGACCTTACTAGACTGATGGTAGAAAGATTTAGAAATAATAGTTGTAAATGTGGTGTGAAAAAATATAATGTGTTAAATAAATATTATGATTGCCATCAGTTAGAAAGATTAAAAAATATATGCACACACAAATAATCCATATCTTCCCTTCTAGTTAACATATATATTCTGGTGACACCATCATCAAAATGAAGGAAGATATGATATATCCAACTAGCTTCAGTGATTTCCTCAGTAGATGTGGAATAAGTTAAAGTAATTGTTAATTGATGACTAGGTACAAACATTTCTGCTTATCTATCACTGTTAACAAACTGCACCAAACTTCAGTGGCTTAATAGAGGTTAAGAATTCAGAAAAGACTCATCTGAGAGATTCTTATCTTCGCAAAAGACTGTAACATCAATTGCAGTCACTCAATGGTATTCAGGTGGCGGCTGGGCTAGTGCGGGTTGCGGGGTGAGCAGAGGAAGGGAATGCGTAAGCCGGGCAGCTTGCAAGGAGAGCTGGACGACCAGACTCAGTGGGCCCTTTTCCCCTCCACATAGCCACAGGCGCTCTTTATGTGGTCACCATGTTTTGCTTCTCACATGGAAGATCAGGGCTCCTAGAGTGAGAGTCCCAAGAAACTGAAAGTAGCAATTGCCGATATATTAAAGCCTGGGCCTGGAAATAAGCATGTTTCCCTTCCACTGTATTATACCAAAGCAAATACAAAGTCCACCCAAATTCAAGGGAAGGAAAAATCAATCTCATTTCTCTATGGGAGGAAGGTCAAATAATTTTCAGGCATCTTTAATCTGCTATGCAAATACTGGTAAACATCAACTCTTGCTTAATTCTTTTCTCCACTGGCCTCAGCCCCCATTCATCCATCTTTGTTTCCACAACATGTACAGTGTCAAGTAAACTCCTCATTTTATATAAGATTTATAACAAAGAGAGGAAACGGGGGAAAAATTATTCCCTGCAGGCCCCTTAAAGACGTGACTGAAGAGAGAAACTTGCAACAACTCCCTAAACCAACCAGCGTAAGTACATTCAACCCACAAGCTTGGGGAAGGAGTAAGAGCGTCACTTGCATTGAACTTCTCTTTCCTCTATTGGGAACAAAATATTATTTTGTTTTTCATCTGATAATTTATTAACAAAGAGAAAAACAAAAAATAAAGCCCTAAGTGCCTCCTCTCTGATGTTCAGATCCTGACAGTTAAATAGATTTCTAACAGTGTGCTTGTAATGATCAAATGGCAAGTGAACTTAGAGGTCTTAAGGAGTTAATTATGATAGAATTTAAACTGTAGTATATTTTTACTTTCTATATAAGATGTACCTAAAATTATACTTTACCCTAAAGGAAAAAAACGTGGCATAAAAAAAAGAGCATTTGGAGTCAGATACGCCTTAGTTTGAGAAGCATTCCTGGCACATAGGAAGGGTAAGACTAGCAACATCACAGCTGAGTTTCCATTTCTTCAACACCATTGTTGCTGAAGAAATCAGGTGTGAAATATGTCTATATAAGGACTAACACAGTAGATTTCCAAGAAATATTTGCCAAAGAAATGAATAAAATCCACATCATCAAAGTAACCATCCGAAAAGTAAGATTTGATTCAGAAAGGGATGACCTCTAAGAAAACCGAAGAGGCGAAGTAACATTTATTAAACACCAACTATGAGCTAGGCATTGTGCAAGTTACTGAGGATAAAGACGAAAACACAGACTTTCCTCTCAGAGAAAAGCATGTAACTTAGAAGCTAAATGCAAGGAAGAAAACAATGTTTTTTGGAAATGCAGAGTGTGTGCATACAGCCTGTGGGTCCCAGAGGGGAACAGGCGAGCTGGGCCTTGGGTGAATTTTTAATAATGAGTAGGGATAAATCAAGTAAAAAACAGAGGGCAATGGGGAGAGGCAGGCATAAAAATTATTATGGAAAAAGGCAAATGAGCCCATTAAATGTGCTTTAGATTAGGTCTGAGAAGTAGGGGGGAACAGGCCAGGCATGGTGGCTCACGCCTGTAATCCCAGCACTTTGGGAGGCTGAAGCAGGCAGATTGCTTGAGGCCAGGAGTTTGAGACCAGCATGGCCAACATGGTGAAACCCATCTCTACTAAAATTACAAAAACCAGCTGGGCGTGGTGTTGCATGCCTGTAATTCCAACTACTCGGGAGGCTGAGGCATGACAATTGCTTGAACCCAGGAGGCGGAGGTTGAAGTGAGCTGAGATCACACCACTGCACTCCAGCCTGGGCAACAGAGCGAGACTCTGTCAAAAAAACAAAAAAAAAAAAAGCGGGGGGGGGGAACAATCCAGTAGGTCCGTATTCCTTTTTAACCTGGCAAGGAGCCCAGTTCCAGGCACATAGTAGGTACTCACAAACTCATTAAAGGCAAGGCAGGAAAGGAGAATGTGGGGTACATGATGAGTTTTGTACTCTATTCTAAAGACTTCAGATGTTATGCTGAAACCCACAGGGATGTGTTGAATGATTTTAAATAAGAGCAATGTGATCATATTTCTCTTTCCCAACCATTCATCTCACAACACTCTAGGAAGAGAAAGGAGATCTATAAACATACAGGTGGGGAAATGGTTAAGCATTAACCTATTAATGTAGATTACCTATTAATGTAATCTACCTCTGGAGGGTTGCAAAACTTTCACAAAAATTAAAGCAGGTTTAATGTTCTCTGACTGTTTCATCTGAATCAGAGACTCTCATGCTCCCTTCCATAGCTGCCTTGAGTGTGAAATTTAGACACAGGCCAAAATACCAGTCAACTCACAGTATATTTCTATTGACCAGCCTGGGTGCTTTCTTGACTAATAAAACTCTTTCCTGATGAAATGACAATTCAGCTCCTGAGCAAGTCTTTGCTGTAAGAATATGTGTGAAGCACAGACCAATAGAAAATGTCTTGTTTTGTGGGACCTATTTTTTTCCCATGTCTTTTCAGCTTCTTTTTGGATTTTGCTCTGAGCACTGAATATCGGTAACCTCTCACACTAAAAGTTCAATCAAAGAAAACACTAGTTTGCACATGAGTCACACTATGGCAATATGGCATTATCTGCTTGAGGCCGTAAGATTGTAGACGAAAGGTGGATTGAACATCAAGCCACTAGTATATCTATCTGGCTGTCAGGCAGAAAAGGGCAAGTGGTCAGTTGGATGAAATGACTTACAAGCCTCCCTTACAAAGTCAAATACGTATCTAAGGATGGTCAGAAAATAAGCACAACCCCTACAGCCTTACCTCTGTTGTTCACTCACTCGATTTACATTCATTCGTACAATATCTCTTGAGAATCTATTTTACCATAGGCCCTAAGCTGGATGTGAGAAGTGAAAGGGTGAGCTAGATACAGACAGGCCCTGTTTTTGACTCAGTGCCTCAAGGCAATTTAGAGTTAAGCCAAATTTCCCATGGTTTCTGAAATGTACTCTAATTAGTTCTGTTCCCACACTTGGTTTGTGCCCTCATTCTCAGGATAAATATTTCTATCCTTCAAGGATTTACTCTTAATCTATCTCTTCTATAAATCATCCTTATTATTCTGACTCCAAATAATTTCTTTGTCTTATAGCTGTTTTACAAATGTTAGCCCCCAATCATGTAATGTGCTAATCCATGACTGACTAATTACCTGAAAGAATAAATACAGATACAGATATGCTGATATATAGATATCACAGAATAACATGTGGTTTTCCAAGCTTTCATTTGCGACACAAATAAAGATGAGTATTTACAATTGATAATGTATTTGAAACGCCTTCAGCAGGACTGAACAACTAGTTCATATGGACTTCACCAAAGATGACCTAAAAGTGATTGTTTATCCTTCAGGTCAGAATCCATTTAGGAACAATGACTAGATATGTTCCATGTTCAATAGGAAGATAATATTCGTGACTGAATGTGACAAGTGACATTTTTCAACTGTGAATCTTTAAAAGTTGGCATATAAAGAAATGAAGAAAAGAAAAGAAATTCTACTGCTTATCATCCTCTAAAGAACACATAAATCTGTCACAGAGGAGAGCAACAGAATTGTTCTCTACCCTCCAGCTGAAATATTTCAGAAACAGGAGATTAAAATTTTATTAGATCCTCAGTACTATGCCTGGGAGATAGTTTTCTGTGGATTTTATGAACAATTTGCCAGCAGAGTCAGGTTTAGGGAAGAGTCTCAAAACTTTATCCTTCATTATTATCAGTAAACTACTAAACACAAAACAGGAAGTAAAGGCAAATAGGACATGAAAGTCTCAATAAATATTGAGACTTTTACAGTGTTAAAATGTTTACTTCCTCATCTCAGCTCTCCATCCACTATCTGAAACTCCCACCCCACCCCCACAAAATCTATAAAAGATTTCTTCACTTCTTCACTTACACTGCACGGGGTAAGATTTTCAAATTCTTTTATATCCAAACATCAAAAGAATTGCTTTATTTCTACATTGCACTGTCACATAAATACTCAAAAGGAAAAAAGAGAGTTATTTTCCTTTAAGTACCTCATTCCCCCCAATCCATTAATAGTTGAACAGGGCGCATGTTTGATTGTTATCAAAAGGTCAGATATTATGGAGGCATATTATGATGTATATGCTTGTAAACATTTTCATTTAATCCAAACATTTGTAATCACAAAAAATGCTTTTGTCCACAACTATTAATTAATTCAACTATTTTGTAACCTGTCTCTGAAAAACAGTCCAAATTATTATCATTTCTAACTACAACTCAAGGAAATTTTATGTTCTACATCACACAACCAAAAAACTTTCTAATTTTGACCATATTTAGAAATAAAAGTTTATTTTAAATTATAAATTAAATATAAGAAGTACTTAAGACTGTTTAAAAGGTATGTCAGTAACTATAATACAATAGTGTTAGTGTCCTTATAAGAGACATCAGAGAGCTTGCTCTCTCTCTCTCCCTCTCCTTGCACACACCAAGGAAAGGTCACATAAGGACATAGCAAGAAGGTGGCCATACGCAAACCAGGAAGAGAGCCCTTAACCTAAATCAAATCAGCTGAAACCCTGATCTTGGACTTCTAGCCTCCAGAACTGTGAGAAAATAAATTCGCTTTTTAAGTCACCTAGTCTGTGGCATTTTGTTATGGAAGCTCGAGCAGACGACGACAGGCCCCGTAGTTCCTTTATTCCAGTGAAGTGACAGCAGCCCTTGGAGAGTGACACAGTATTGAAAGACTAATTCCTCCAGAAACTGGAAGAGTGCTAACAGCTGTCACCTCTCAGACCTCTCAAAAAAATTGCCTTTGATTGGAGGAATCTGCTTCAACTAGGGTTCTCTTTCCTTCCTAGGGTAGCTCTCATTCTGACCACAACATGGGCTAAGTAATTTGACCCCCACTTCAGAGCAACCTGTGATGTTTGCTAAAACCTTCACTGAGGCTGCATTGGGATTGAACTTCCCTCAGCAAATTCTGCCTCTTTTCCATCTCTTCCACAGGTATTGATTATAAAAGCATGTAATAATAAACTTATTTTTCTAGACTTACCTTCATGTCAGCATCTGCTTTCTAGAGAAGCCAATCTACAGCTCCACCTCATTAGAATTACTTTTAATTTTTTTGGTATAGTTTAAAGTGGATTTCCAAAAAATATAATAAACACAGCCTGATCCAAAGGATGAGAAGGAAAACCTTGAAAATTTTACTGAGCACCTGTAATGTGCCTGCATTCTAGTTTATGGTTCTTTCGTATGTGTTATCAATTCTTTCCTTCCTGATGTTTATAGTACCAATATATTCATATCATTCTCCAGGAACACCATCAAATTAAAATACACTCATTGTTAACAAATTTTATGTAATGAAAAGAAAACAATGCTCATTTTAAAGAGAAAACTGGTTTATAATTGTTTCGAGAAAGCTGACTGTGCGATGCCTATTCTTGTGTCCCCTGCTTTGCTCATTCACTTGCTTTCTTCTTATTCTTTATTACATTACAGTCTTTGCCAACCCCCCTTCAATGCTCAACTCAAGTCTCAAATTCTTTATGAAATATCTGTCCACTCCTATTTCCTTTATCTGTAGAGTTTGTGCATGCTATTCAATTAACTCACTGAAAGCTTTTGAGTTCTACAGCTTATATCTCCAAAGGTCTCACAAGCTTTTTAGAGACAGAGAGTATGTATTGTTGTCCTTTAAATCCCTTAATGAGCCCAGTGCCTCACACATCACCTACTGGAAAAAGAGACAAAGGGAGATATGAAACTCTTCTTTGCAGTTTTTCAGAGAAAATCAGAGGTAATCTTTACATGAAAAATGTCTAAATTATCTTCTACCTGAAGAACAGGGGGAGCATTTCAACTCATAATTACACAGATAAATAATCAATATCAATACCCTTCATCTATATTAATATTGAAGAGTGAAGTTTAGAGGTAAATGGTAATACTCAAGCATTACTTAGATACTCTACAGGTTAAACACAAATGGATCTAGTAAATAAAGATGGGCTGGTTTAATTTTTGGTATTAATTCAATAAATAATTATTACACACTCACAATATTCTAGAAATCAGGGATATGAAACTCATTTCTCTCCAATCAAAGCAACATCATTTTTTTTACTAGTTCCATTGAACAAGTAAGAACAGGCAACCCACATGGCATTGGCCAACCAGCCTGATGAAAGGAAGGCACATTTTCAAAAGTCACAGATCCAAATTCATTAAAAAAAATTCTCAGAGTATTAGTTCATAGAACATATTTTTTAAAAAACTTGCACCATTTATTAAGCATTTACTGTGTAGGAAGTACTGCCATATGCTTTACGTACATTGCCTCATTTAGTCCTTAATAAAAACCTATAATTGTACATTTTGCAAAGGAGGAATTTGAGAATCTAAAAGTTTATCAGACAGCTTAAATAATTTTCTCAATATTACATTAAGGTATCGTCTGATTCCCAAAACTCTGCTCTTAACTATTACACTGCACCGCACTCAGGAAATGAATGTTGATGCTATTTTTCTACCACAGGTCAATAAAAACAACTGTCAGAGAGACCTCGTTTGGCTGCTAAAGTTTTTCTATTAGATATTTCTTGTTTCCATCTTTATGAGGTGTAATATACTCACTATTTTAATTTTCTTTTTTGCCTATGATAACAATTACAACTTTAGTTAACTAAAAAGTATATTCAAATAACTCTGGTGGAACTTAAAAATAAAACTTTAATGTGTCTTTTTCTACATCTGACGACTCCTTTTTCCTTCTGGCCACCTTATTTCATAGATATCAAGTATTCTTTTTTTTTTTTTTTTTAGATGGAGTCTCACTCTGTCACCAGGGCTGGAGTGCAGTGACGCTATCTTGGCTCACTGCAACCTCCGCCTCTTGGGTTCAAGCGATTCTCCTGCCTCAGCCTCCCAAGTAGCTGGGATTACAGGCACCCACCACTACGCCCAGCTAATTTTTTGTATTTTTAGTAGAGACGGGGTTTTACCATGTTGGCCAGGCTGGTCTCGAACTCCTGACCTAGTGATTTGACCGCCTTGGCCTTCCAAAGCGCTGGGATTACAGGCGTGAGACACTGTGCCTGGCCAATATCAAGTATTCTTTTTACAAAGCATTGAAAATGACATTTTGCCCTAGGAGTTTTACATACTACGAAGAGTTTGGAAGGCAAAATGTAAGAAAGTATTTTTTTTGTCCATCTTAAAATACAGTAAACATTGACCCCCACTTGTTTATGTATTATATTAGGAACTATTTCCAAAATTTGCCTTTACTCTTACTGAACCACGTTTACCATATGTGGTGAGTAAACGAAAATGTACTAGCATCACTGTTTTAAATGTAAATAAGACTATATGAAATCTTCACTTTATATGGTGTTTTGTAAAAGACAAAAAAAATCTCCTGACTTCCCCCTTAAAATATTTACTGAGACAAAAGATAACCAGAATTTAAAATAGCACTGAAAATTAAGCAGAAATACATCTATTGCTGACATTCATTGGAAATCCCCTAAATATATATGTAAACATTGACCCATCGGTGTTATGCTGAGCATTATGAAAGCAAGAACCACGTTCACCATTCTTCTCTTCCTTCTGAGCCCAAAGGCTCAGAAAGGCAACAGCTGCACAAATTTGAAAATTGATGAAAATAAGCAGCCATCCATGATATGTGTGAGAACTCTGACTGTCCCCTGGAGTCAGTCTGATATACCTATACTCATCAATGAATGCCTGTTTCTAGCCAGAAAAAGATAGTAAGTTCCTGAAAGTGACTTGGGAGGAAATAGCAGGGGGCTGGCAGTGCTATATAAGAACTCAGGAAAAAACTTGGAAAAAGAGAGCAAAAAGAGAAAGAAAAGTAAAAGAGGGAAACTCAGGAAGACTATTGGAAATAGCCATCTTCTGGCACTTCATCTATTAATACAAGGAGTTCAAACATTTCATAGTGGAAAGAACTTGAAGATCCCACCACAGCCCAGCAAAATGGGCTGAGCAGAAAAGGCTGTGGAGAACTGCACAAATAAGCATAATATTGTAGAATTTAGGAGAGATCTTAAACAACAGTATGTACAGTGCAGCTAACTAAATATAGAAGTACCAGTACTATGGCCTCAAAAAATTCTGCAGAACAAGAGAAAGTGAATATTTTTAGTATTATACTATAAGTCAGAATTAGAGATCACTTATGAACTCCAGACACCAGACACATTTTTAAAATATTTTGCTGCTCAATAGGATGTATGAAAACATGAGTTTTTTTGCCATTAAAAGTAATGGCAAAAACTGCAATTACTTTTGCAGCAACCTAATACTTTGAAAAGATAACACAATCAGAAGAAAAGGGAGATGGCTTATATTGTTATAGTCTGAGGTATTGGCAGTAAAATGCAGAAATGATACTGAAGAAAATAAAAATTGTTATTAACCTACAGTGACAAATAGGGTCCTTGTAGTGCAGAAGGAGTCATGGTAACAGACTCTCTTGGGCAAAGTAAGGAAATCCAGGTGCTGAAGGTAAACTTAAACCATCAGGTAATCTCCCAAAGCCTTTGAGAGCCTCAGCTATTGGGAGCACCAGATGCCAAGGAAGGTGGGGTGGGTTGAGGTCTGAAAAGACTAAGATTAGTTAGATGACTGTAAACATGGGAGTTGGAACACCCAGATCCTCTCCTACATGCCTGTAGCCAGAAGATTATTTCTCACATACATCTTCACTGGCAGGAGAATAGTCGGCTATCCTCAGGAAGGCTCTGGACTTTGTAACAGAGCACAGCAGAGAGCAGGAGAGAGTATGTGAATGAAAAATACAGTGAGGTATGCAAACTTCTCTCCACTTTCTTTTCTCTTTTTTCTGTCCTTCTCCTTGCCTCGCTCAGGATTCCAGCAACTGAGTATAAGGATCCTCCTCTCTCTGCACCCTACCACAAAAAGCTGGAAAAAAGAGATTCTTGGGTATAAATCTATACCCTCCCCCCCAAAAAAGTGTTCCTATTGTGACACTTTGTAGGTCCTTCAATTAAAAGGCTGACTCTCTTTCCAAACACTATGGTGTTCATGAATCCACCAAACAACAGGCCCACTCTCCCCATAGAGATTTGACTTCTAATGAGCTTTTTGGTGCCTCTTGAATATGAATAGACTATGAATGGAAAGATCAAGATCAACAATTATTTAAAAACTGTTTCAATGTAAAAAGGAGAAACCAAAAACTGGAACAAAAAATATTTTTTAAGGAAAAAAGCTAAGAAAATATAGAGAGAAGAAGATGATGGAAATCAAATATATGTATGTATATGTATGAGTAGAAGATTAAGATGGCAGATAGGACGCAGGACTAACTTGCAGCTCCTGCTCAGAAGGATGGAGCAGTGTGTGGAAACCCACATCATGAACTTTTAGTCTCAGAATTGCCTCAGGAACAGCTCCAGCAAAACAGCAGATTGGAGATGGGAGCCAACCAGGACTGCATTGGAGGTTGAAATAGCAAACAGTAGACACCATTTTAGACAGGTGTTCTTCAGCACCACTGACAACAGTTTCGACAATATTTCATGACAATGGATGATGACAGTTCTACAACAGATGCCTCTCAACTAGGAACCTGTGCAGACTATATTGGAGGAAGTCATTATGTTATACAGCCTCATGATGATACTGAGGAGAGCATGAGTGATCAAGAGGACACAAATGGTTCAAAAGTAAGTTTCAGAGAACAAGATATGTATCTTCCAATAACAAACGTGGCTAGGATAATGAAAAATGCCATACCTCAAACAGGAAAGATTGCAAAAGATGTCAAAGAATGTGTTCAAGAATGTGTAAGTGAGCTCATCAGCTTTATAACATCTGAAGCAAGTGAAAGGTGCCATCAAGAGAAACAGAAAACAATCAATGGAGAAGACATTCTGTTTGCCATGTGTATTAGTCTGTTTTCATGCTGCTGATAAAGGTATACCCGAGACTGGGAAGAAAAAGGTTTACTTGGACGTATAGTTACACATGGCTGGGGAGGCTTCAGAATCATGGTGGGAGGCGAAAGGCACTTCTTACATGAGAGAAAATGAGGAAGAAGCAAAAGCAGAAACCCCTGATAAACCCATCACATCTCACGAGACTTATTCACTATCATGAGAACAGCACAGGAAAGACCAGCCCCCATGATTCAATTACCCCCACTTAAGTCCCTCCCACAACAAGTGGGAATTCTGGGAGATACAATTCAAGTTGAGATTTGGTGGGGATACAGCCAAACCATATCACCATGTCTACCTTAGGCCTAGACAGTTACGTGGAACCTCTGAAATTATATCTTCAAAAATTCAGAGAGGCTATGAAAGGAGAAAAGGGAGTTGGTGGAGCAGTCACAGCTACAGATGGACTAAGTGAAGAGCTTACAGAAGAGGCATTTACTAACCAGTTACCAGCTGGCTTAATAACCACAGATGGTCAGCAACAAAATGTTATGGTTTACACAACAGATTTCTGGTGTTCAACAAATTCAGTTTACATGATCTGAAGAAATGATGGAATGAAGGGTATAGAGAAATAAGAGTCTGTATGATTCTGGAACACAGACATCAGAAGAAAATGACTGGTGAAAGATGTATCTTTGTATATTAAATAGCTGTAATGTAGCTTCCTGATGCTTCACTAATTGAGGTGTTAATTCTGACTTGAGAATCTTTTTCATCAATGATTTTAAAGAAAAATTTAGATTTTAAAGGTATTGAAAAAGAAAAAAAAAAAATATATATATATATATATATTTTTTTTTTTTTTGAGACAAGAGTCTCCCTCTGTCACCCAGGCTGGAGTGCAGTGGCACAATCTCAGCTCACTGCAAGCTCCACCTCCTGAGTTCACACCATTCTCCAGCCTCAGCCTCCTGAGTAGCTGGGACTACAGGTGCCCACCAACATGCCTGGCTAATTTTTTGTATATTTTAGTAGACACAGGGTTTCACCATGTTAGCCAGGATGATCTCGATCTCCTGATCTCGTGATCCGCCCGCCTCAGCCTCCCAAAGTGCTGGGATTACAGGTGTGAGCCACCGCGCCCAGCCAGGTATTAAAATATTTTTGTTTTGTCTGAGAGTTTGTTGGTCTGTATGACTCTCGAATGCATTGTATATTGCAATTTATTACTGTCAGAGATTTGTAGACAGTTTCTTATTGTCATATTGAATCATGTTACTTTTGTAACTCAAGTAAGCAGCTGGGCTAATTCATGATGTTTGCCCTTTTAATAAAATACAAGGGTAGAGTTCAAAAAAAAAAAAAGAACTACCACAGGAACATACCAGGAAAGCTGAGAGAATCCACAGACACTTCAAAGGAACTGGATCACCACTGCAGGCTCCCTGAGAAGCTGAAAAACTATGAGTCTGCTTGCTTCTCAATGGGGAGGCTCCTGGTCTGGGGCAAGTTCTTAGCCCTAGTCACCGGCTGCCTGGAAAGACTCAGTGCTGTTGTTAGGACATGGTGGAAGTGAGACCGGCCTTTAGGACTGTGGGCTGCGTAGGAGCAGAGTGAGGCCTGTGACTGCTGGTTTTTCCCCACTTCCCTAAGGTGAAGTCTAACCTTAGCAAATCAACAACATGATACAGTATATGAAAGAAAATTTCTTCAGTGAAATAGAGAGCATTTAAACAAAAAACATAACTTCTGGAAATCAAGGACACAGAGAAATGCCAAATGCACTGGAAAGTCTCAGCAATAGGATTGAACAAGCAGAAGAAAAAACTTCAGAGCTCAAAGATAAGGCTTTCAAATTAACCCAGTCCATCAAAGACAAAGAAAAATCATAAAAATAAATGAACAAAGCCTCCAAGAAGTTTGGAACTATGTTAAACCTCGAAACCTAAGAATAATTGGTTTTCCTGGGGAGGAAGAGAGATCTAAAGTTTGGAAAACATATTTGAGGAAATAATCAAGAAAAACTTCCCGGGCCTTGCTAGAGATCTAGACATCCAAATACAAGAAGCTGAAAGAACACCTGGGAAATTCATTACAAAAATATCATCGCCTAGGCACATGGTCATCAGGTATCTAAAGTCAAGATGAAGGAAAGAATCTTAAGGGCTGTGAGGCAAAGCATCAGGTAACCTATAAAGAAAATCTCTCAAATTAACAGATTTCTCACCAGAAACCCTACAAGCTAGAAGGGACTGGGGACCTATTTTTGGCCTTCCTAAACAAAACAATTATCTGCCAAGAATTCTGTAACCAGTGATACTAAGCTTCACAAATGAAGGAAAGACAGTCTTTTCAAGACAAACAAATGCTAAGAGAATTCACCACTATCAAGCCAGCACTACAAGAACTGCTGAAAGGAGCTCTAAATCTTGAAATGAATCCTGAAAATACACCAAAATGGAACCTGCTTAAAGTATAAATTTTGCAAGACCTATATAACAATAACACAATGAAAAGAAGTATTCAGGCAACAAACAGCATGATGAGTAGAATAGTACCTCACATTTCAATACTAACATTGAATGTGAATGGCCTAAATGATCTACCTAAAAGATACAGAATGGCAGAATGGATAAGAATTTACCAGTTGAGTTTCTGTTGTCTTCAGGAGACTCACCTAACACATAAGGACTCACATAAACTTAAGATAAAAGAGTGGAGAAAGATATCCATGCAATGGACACCAAAAGCGAGCAGGAAAAGCTGTTCTTATACCTGACAAAACAAACTTTAAAGCAACAGCAGTTATAATATACCCAAAGGACTATAAATCATGCTGCTATAAAGACACATGCACACGTATGTTGATTGCGGCACTATTCACAATAGCAAAGACTTGGAACCAACCCAAATGTCCAACAATGATAGACTGGATTAAGAAAATGTGGCACATATACACCATGGAATACTATGCAGCCATAAAAAATGATGAGTTCATGTCCTTTGTAGGGACATGGATGAAATTGGAAATCATCATTCTCAGTAAACTATCGCAAGGACAAATAACCAAACACCACATATTCTCACTCATAGTTGGGAATTGAACAATGAGAACACATGGACACAGGAAGGGGAACATCACACTCTGGGGACTGTTGTGGGGTGGGGGGAGGGGGGAGGGATAGCATTAGGAGATATACGTAATGCTAAATGACAAGTTAATGGGTGCAGCACACCAGCATGGCACATGTATACTTATGTAACTAACCTGCACATTGTGCACATGTACCCTAAAACTTAAAGTATAATAGTAAAATAAAAACAAAGAAGGACATTATATAATAATAAAAGGAGTCGTCCAACAGGAAAATATCACAACTATAAATATGCATGCACCTAACACTGGAGCTCCCAAATTTGTAAAACAATGACTGCTAGACCTAAAAAATGAGATAGGCAGCAACACAATAATAGTGGGGGATTTCAATACTCCACTGACAGCACTAGACAGGTCATCAAGACAGAAAGTCAACAAAGAAACAATGGACCTAAAATATTCCCTACAACAAAAGGACTTAACAGATATTTATAGAACATTCTACCCAATAACTGCAGAATATACATTCTATTCATCAGCCCATGGATCATTCTCCAAGATAGACCACATGATAGGCCACAAAACAAGTATCAGTAAATTTAAGAAAATCGAAGTTACATAAAGTACTCTTTCAGACCACAGTGGGATAAAATTGGAAACCAACCCTAAAAGGAAGCCTCAAAACCATACAAATTCTTGGAAATTAAATAACCTGCTCTTGTATGATCATTGAGTCAACAATGAAATCAAGATGGAAATTAAAAAAATACTTTGAACTGAAAGATAATAGTGACACAACCTATCAAAACCTCTGGGATTCAGCAAAAGCCGTGCTAATAGGAAGGTTCATAGCATTAAATGCCTGCACCAAAAAGTCTGAAAGAGCACAAATAGACAATCTAAGGTCACACCTCATGTAACTAGAGAAATAAGAAGAATCCAAACCCACGGCGAGGAGGAGAAAAGAAATAAAGACCAGAGCAGAACAAAATAGAATTGAAATAAGCAAACAAACAAAATACAAAAGATAAATGAAACGAAAAGCTGGTTCTTTGAAAAGGTAAACAAAATTGATAGACCGTTAGTGAGATTAACCAAAAAAAGAAAAGAGATCTCAATAAGCTCAACTAGAAATGAAACTGGAGATATCACTATTGATACCACATAAATACAAAATATTTATTCAAAGCTACTATGAACACATTTACACACATAAACTAGAAAACCCAAAGGAGATGGATAAATTTCTGAAAATATACAACTCTCCTAGATTGAATCAGGAAGGTATAGAATCTCTGAACAGACCAATAACAAGCAGTGAGATTGAAATGGTAATTTAAAAATTACCAGTAAAAAAAATTTAGGACCAGAAAATTCAAAGCTGAATTCTGTCACATTCATTGACGAATTGGTACCAATCCTAATGACACTATTCCAAAAGATAGAGACAGAGGGAATCCTCCCTAGATCATTCTATGAAGCCAGTATCACCCTAATAAAAAAAAAAGCCAGGGAAGAACATAACAAAACAAAAAAAAAAGAAAATGAAAAAGAAAGCTACAGACCAATACTCCTATAAACATGGATGCAAAAATGCTCAACAAAATAGTAGCTGGCATAATTGAACAGCATATCAAAAATATAATCCACCATAATCAAGTGGGTTTCATATCAGGGATACAGGAATGGTTTAACATATGATTTACATGATCATATGTTAAAAATCACATGATTACCTCAATAGACACAGAAAAAGTATTTGACAAAATCTAGCATTGCTTTATGATTAAAACCCTAGGCAAAATCAGCATAGAAAGGACATACCTTGGCAGCTCCAGACAGAGCAGTGGGTGGTGGCTCACAATGTGAATTATAGCTCCAGACCTACTGCAAGAACAAACCAGCAATCCCCAGAGGACCCACAGACCTTCTGAAGGAAGCAGACTGCTCCTGCAAGAACCAGGAGACCCCCACAAAATTGTGAGTGCCCCAACTGCAGAAGTGGGAAAGGGAGACCCTCCTCTCCCTAACACATACTCCCACTAAAGAAGCTGAAGGTCTGTTTGTGGGAGAAGTTTCTGACATTACCTGGAGCAGAATCAATTTGGAGAGCTGAGCAAAATACAGGGGTAGAGAAAGCAGCAGAAAGGCCCTGGGAGCTCACTGGGTCCCCTAGCAGGCCATTCCTTCCTGGCACCACAGGGATCCAATGGGAGAGAAGCAAGGGGTAAAACTACACAGGGAGAAGCAAATATCTACCTGAACTTTGTGACAATTTCAACAGGGAGAGAAGCCTCCTGGCCAGAACTCCGGGAAGAGTGTGAATCCAGTATGCAGACTCCACAGGAGCGGGAGGAACCAAGCCCTTTTCTTTCACAGCTTGGAGGCAGGTAGCTTGGGGCAGATTTTCAAGCCATATGGCTCTCTCTGCCTGGAAACGTTTGGTGGGGCGGGGGTGGGTACACAGTGGGAAGGGCACAGCCCTTCAGATTGTGTGGGAGCTAGGTAAGGCCTGTGACTGCTGGCTTTCCCCTACATTCCTAACAACCTTCATGACTCAGCAGATGCAGCCATAATCCTCCTAGGTACATAACTCCATTGACCTGGGAACCTCACCTCCATCATCCAAAGCACCCACAGCAAGACCTGCCCAAGGAGAGTCTAGCCCTGCCCCTACCTGATGGTCCTTCCCTACTCACCCGGGTCGTGGAAGCCAAAGGCATATAATCTTGGGAGTTCTAGGGCCCTGCCCGAAACCTATTTCTCTCCATGCTACTAAAGCTGATGCTCTCTGAAAAGTGTCACCTCCTGGAAGGCAACCAACCAGCACAAAAATGGAACATTAAACCTCCAAAGCTAAGAACTTTCACAGAGTCCATTTCACTCCCCTTTCACCTCCACTGGAACAGGTGCTAGTATCCACAGCTAAGAGACCCATAGATGGTTCACATCACAGGACTCTGTGCAGATATACCCCAGTACCAACCCAGGGCCTGGCAGACATGCAGGGTAGCTAGACCTAGAAGAGAGATAACAATCACTACAGCTGATTTTTCCTTCCTCAGGAAGCCACGTTCATAGGAAAAGTGGGGAAGTACTACATCAAGAGAACACCCCATGGGACAAAAGGATCTGAACAACAGCTTTCAGCCCTAGACCTTCCCTCTAACAGAGCCTACCAAAAAGAGAAGGAACCAGAAAATCAACTCTGCTAATATGACAAAATAAGGATTTTTAACACCCTCCCCAAAAAAATCACACTACCTCACCAGCAATAGATCCAAACCAAGAAGAAATCCCTGATTTACCTGAAAAAGAATTCAGAAGGTTAATCATTAAGCTAATCAGGGAGGCACCAGCGAAAGGCAAAGCCCAATGCAAGGAAATCCAAAAAACAATACAAGAAGTGAAGGGAGAACTATTCAAGGAAATAGATAGCATAAATAAAAAACAATCAAAACTTTAGGAAACATTGGACATACTTATGGAAATGCAAAATGCTATGGAAAGTCTCAGCAATAGAATTGAACATGTAGAAGAAAGAAATTCAAAGCTCAAAGACAAGGACTTCAAATTAACCCAATCCAACAAAGACAGACAAAAGAATAAGAAAGTATGAACAAAGCATCCAAGAAGTCTGGGATTATGTTAAATAACCAAACCTAAGAATAATCAGTGTTCCTGAGGAAGAAGAGAAATCTAAAAGTTTGGAAAACATATTTGGGGAAATATTAAAGGAAAACTTCCCTGGCCTTGCTAGAGACCTAGATATCCAAAAATGAGAAGCACAAAGAACACCTCGGAAATTCATTGCCAAAAGATTATCATGTAACCGCATTGTCACCAGGTTATCTACAGTTAAGACAAAGGAAAGAATCTTAGGAGCTGTGAGACAAAAGCACTAGGTAACCTGTAAAGAAAATTTATCAGATTAACTGCGGATTTCTCAGCAGAAACCCTACAAGCTAGAAGGGATTGGGGCCCTATCTTCAGCCTCCTCAAACAAAAAAACTATCAGCCAATAATTTTGTATCCTGTGTCCAGTGAAACTAAGCATCATATATGAAGAATAAATATAGCCTTTTCAGACAAACAAATGCTAAAAGAATTTGCCACTACCAAGCCACCACTGCAAGAACTGCTAAAAGGAGGTTTAAATCTTGAAACAAATCCTGGAAACGGTACCTCACATGTTAATACTCAGATTGAATGTAAATGGCCTAAATGCTCCACTTAAAAGAAAAAGAACTGCAGAATGGGTAAGAACTCACCAACCAACTACCTGCTGCCTTCAAGAAACTCACATAAAGGACTCACATAAAATTAAAGGGGTGGAAAAAGGCATTTCCTGCAAGTGGACACCAAAAGTGAACAGTGATAGCTATTCTTATATCAGACAAAACAAACTTTAAAGAAACAGCAGTTAAAAAAGACAAAGAGGGATATTATACAATGGTAAAAGTCCTTGTCCAACAGAAAAATATCACAATCCTAAACATACATGCACCTAACACTGGAGCTCCAAAATTTATAAAGCAATTACTAATAGACCTAAAACATGAGATAGACAGCAACACAATAATCGTGGGGGATTTCACAACTCGACTGACAGCACTAGACAGGTCATCAAGACGGAAAGCCAACAAAGAAACAACGGATTTAAACTACACCTTGGAACAAATGGACTTAATAGATATATACAGAGCATTCCATCCAACAACCACAGGATACACATTCTATTCAATAGTGCATGGAACTTTCTCCAAGATAGACTATATGGTAGGCCACAAAATGAACCATAATAAATTTAGGAAAATTGAAATTATATCAAGCATTCTCTCAGACCACAGTGAAATAAAACTGGAAATCAATTCCAAAAGAAACCTTCAAAACCATGCAAATACATGGAAATTAAATAACCTGCTCCTGAATGAGCATTGGGTCAAAAATGAAATCAAGATGGTAATTAAAAAATTCTTCCAACTAAACGACAATAATAACACAACCTATCAAAACCTCTGGCATACAGCCAAGATAGTGCTAATAGGAAAGTTCATAGCCCGAAACACCTACATCAAAAAGACTGAAGGAAAACAAAGAGACATTTTAAGGTCATACCTCAAGGAACTAGAGAAACAAGAACAAACCAAACCCAAATCCAGCAGAAGAAAGGAAAGAACCAAGATCAGAGAAAAACTAAATGAAATTGAAACAAACAAGCAAAAAAAAAAATACAAAAGATAAATAAAATGAAAAGCTGGTTCTTTGAAAAGATAAATAAAACTGATAGACCATTAGCAAGATTAACCAAGAAAAGAATGGAGAAAATCCAAATAACCTCATTCAGAAATGAAGTGGGAGATATTACAACTGACACCACTGAAATACAAAAGATCATTCAAGGCTACTATGAACACCTTTATGCACATAAACTGGAAAACCTAGAAGAGATGGATAAATTCCTGGAAAAATACAACTCTCCTAGCTTAAATCAGGAAGAATTAGATACCCTGAACAGACCAATAACTAGCAGCAAGATTGAAATGGTAATTTAAAAATTACAAAGAAAAAGAGTCATGGACCAAACAAATTCACAGCAGAATTCTACCAAACCTTCAAAGAAGAATTTGTACCAATCCTTTTGACACTATTCCACAAGATCGAGAAAGAGGGAACCATTCCTAATTCATTCTATGGGGTCAGCATCACCACAATGCCAAGACCAGGAAAGGACATAACCAAAAAAGAAAACTACAGACTGATATCCTTGATGAACATAGATGCTAAAATCCTTAACAAAATAGTAGCTAACTGAATCCAACAACGTATCAAAAACATAATCCACCATGATCAAGCACATTTCATATCAGGGATGCAGGGATGGTTTAACATACTCAAGTCAATAAATGTCATACACCACATAAACAGAATTAAAAACAAAAATTACGTGATTATCTCAATAGATGAAGAAAAAGCATTCGACAAAATGCAGCATCCCTTTATGATTAAAACTCTCAGCCAAACTGTTATACAAGGGACATACCTCAATATAATAAAAGCCATCTATGACAAACACACAGCCAACATAATACCACATGGGGAAAAGTTGAAATCATTCCCTGTGATAACTGGAACAAGACAAGGATGTTCACTGTCAGCACTCCTCTTCAACATAGTATTGGAAGTCCTAGCCCGAGCAATCAGACAAGAGAAAGAAATAAACAGCATCCAAATCAGTAAAGAGGAAGTCCAACTGTCCCTGTCTGCTGACAATATGATTGTTTACCTTGAAAATTCTGACTCCTCCAGAAAGCTCCTAGAACTGATAAAATAATTCAGCAAAGTTTCCAGATACAAGATTAATATATGCAAATCAGTAGCTCTTCTATACACCAACAGTGACATAGCAGAAGATCAAATCAAGAACTCAACCCCTTCTATCATAGCTGCAAATGTATATATATATATATATATATATATATATATATATATATATATATATATATCACAAACAAATGGAAACACATCCATGTACATAGATTGGTAGGATCAATACTGTAAAAATGACCGTGCTTTATTAGAAGTGTGAGATTGGACAAATGCAGTAAATTGGTACTGGGTGTTGGGGTGCTGCTGTAAAGATACCCAAAAATGTGGACGCAACTTTGGAACTGGGTAATCAGCAGAGGTGGAAACAGTTTGGAGGGCTCAAAAGAAGACAGAAAGATGTGGGAAAGTTTGGAACGTCCTGGAGACTTGTTGAATGGCTTTGACCACAATGCTGATAGTGATGTGTACAATGAAGTTCAGGCTGAGGTGATCTCAGATGGAGATGAGGAACTTGTTGGGAACTGGAATAAAAGTGACTCTTGCTATGTTTTAGCAAAGACACTGGTGACATTTTACCCCTGCCCTAAAGATCTGAGGAACTTTGAACTTCAGAGAGATGATTTAGGGTACCTGGTGGAAGAAATTTCTAAGCAGCAAAGCATTCAAGATGCAACCTGCATGCTGTTTAAAGCATTTGGTTTTATGTATTCACAAAGATATGGTTTGGAATTGGAACGTATGTTGAAAAGGGCAGCAGAGCATAAAAGTTCCAAAAATTTGCAGCCTGAGGATGCAATAGAAAAGAAAAACCCATTTTCTGAGGAGAAATTCCGTTCAGCTGCAGTAATTTGAATAAGTAAGGAGAAGCCAAATCCTGATCACCAAGACAATGGGGAAAATGTCTCCAGGACATGTCAGAAACCTTAGCAGCAGCATCTCCCATCACAGGTGTGGAGGCAGGCCCAGGAGGAAAAAACAGTCTTGTGGGCCAGGCCCAGGGTCACTGTGCTTTGTCTAGCCTAGGGACTTGGTGCCCTGTTTCCCAGCTGCTCCAGCTGTGGCTAAAAGGGGCCAAGGTACAGCTCAGGCCATGGCTTCAGAAGCTGCAAGCCCCAAGCCTAGGCAGTTTCCACATGGTGTTGAGCCTGCAGGTGCACAGAAGTCAAGAATTGAGGTTTGGGAACCTCTGCCTGGATTTCTGAGAATGTAAGGAAACACCTGGATGTCTAGGCAGAAGTTTACTGCAGGGGTGGAGACCTCATGGAGAACCTCTGCTAGTGCAGTGCAGAAGGGAAATGTGGGATGGAGCCCGTACACAGAGTCTTTACTGGGGCATAGCCTAGTGGTGCTATCAAAAGACAGCCACCATTCTCCAAACCCCAGAATAACAGATCCACCAACAGCTGGCACCATGAGCCTGGAAAAGCTGCAGACACTCAATGCCAGCCTGGGAAATCAGTCAGGAGGGAGGCTGTACCCTGAAAAGCCACAGGGACAGAGCTGCCCATGGCTGTGGGAGACCACTTCTTGAATCAGCATGACCTGGATGTGAGACATGGAGTCAAAGGAGGTAATTTTAGATCTTTAAGATATAGTTACTGCCTCACTGGATTTCAGACTTGCATGGGCCCTGTAGCCCCTTTGTTTTGGCCAGTTTCTCCCATTTGGAATAGGTGTATTTACCCAATACCTGTTCTCCTATCTTATCTAGGAAGCAACTAACTTGCTTTTGATTTTACAGGCTCATAAGTGGAAGGGACTTAAAGTTTTTAGCTTCAGACACTTACAGACTTCAGATATCCCAGAGACGGCTGAAAAGTAACCTGAAGAGAATAGAACTTTTATGATATATCATAATACTAAAATGTTCCTGCTTCAATGTGAGAAACTCAATAGGCAGAATCAAAAATTAATTATAAGATTCCTGAGGGGAATTTGGTTTGGTAAAATTTGTTACCACATGATATGATTTGTCTCTGTGTACCTACCCAAATCTTATCATGAATTGTACTCTCATAATTCCGACGTGTTGTGGGAGGGACCCAGTGGGAGATAATTTGAATCATGGAGGCAGTTTCCCCCATACTGTTCTCATGGTAGTAAATAAGTCTCATGAAATCTGATGGTTTTATCAGGGGGTTTTCCTTTTGCATCTTCTCTAATTTTTATCTTGCCGCCACCATGTAAGAAGTGCCTTTCACCTCCCACCATGATTCTGAGGCCTCCCCAGCCATGCGGAACTGTATGTCCAATTAAACCTCTTTTTCTTCCCAGTCTCAGATATGTCCTTAGCAGCAGCATAAAAATGGACTAATATACCACATGAAACAAATCTTATCAAAACAATAATAAAACTTAAAAATGTATGAAGAGGTTTTTGCAAACTTTCCCTAAGACATCTGGCTGAAACTTAGAAGAAAAGGATGTTATTATTGCACTTTACCTCTTGTAATAAGAACCCAGCGGTTAGGCCAACAAGTGTCCAGGAAAACACTTTCTGAAGTCCAACTAAAATTAATTTTCAATTTTTTTTAAAAAAGCAAACTATAACATTTTAATCTCATTATTTTGGATTTCATCTCATCTATATTCTCTAAATATTTATCAATATGAATTGATGTTATTGATGAAGTAAATGAAATGTATATTAAAAAGAAAAATTCCAGACATAGAAACAAGAATATACTTTAAAAAACAGACTTTCATTCACTATGAAAATATTATTTATTTAATTAACAGTCCTAATTTAAATATTTATAGATAATTGCCATGAGCCAGAAACTGGGAAGAGAGTATATAAATATGTGTTCCCCAGCTTTTCTGAAATTTCAGTCCAGCAGAAAAGACAGGCATTTAATACATAATCATATAAATTATTAAAGTTTGAAATTCAATTAATACTTGCCATTTATTTCTATGTGTTCAATAATGATAAAGAACTATGTGTTAAGGAGGCAATATAGGTTCCATTTTATTTACTCACTTCATAACTGGTTTAAGAACTGTGAAAAAATGAACACCATATCTACCCCAGAAGTGACTGAGAGATGGATTTGAAATGTTGGGAACATGTGATGTTTCCAAAGTTTATTTGCTTTAATAAAATGTTATTTGACTACCCAGGCTATTCTTTTTACTTAACATAGGTACTTGGAGAAAGCACATTACCACTTTGAACTTTAGATTCTTCTGTGAAACAGAGATTGCATTTTTCTCATAATGCTGATATGAGGATAAAATAAAAAATCATATCTAGTGCTAAACGCTATGCTAGAAAGTTTACGTAGGGTATGCCATTTAGTCTTTCAATTATTTATAAAGCTGTTATTATCCCCGTTTTGCAAATGAGGAAGGTGAGGTTCAGAGTGATTAGGAAAAGTATTCCAAGTTGTACACAGAGTCAGAGACGAAGTTGGGACATGAAAGAAAGTCCCTCCGATTCTATATCTTATTCTCTTTCCATTAAACCTTACTTCATCTCAAGCCTATTTATATTTTAAAAGGTTATCTTTAGAGATAATACATAACCCAAGAGATGAGACTCTATTGGGGAAATGCCTGATTCCATGACATGCAAATAAATGTTTGCCTGAAGTGGGTTTAATTCTGCTTGGAAACAGGGAGGAAAGACTGGACTTTTATTTGAAGCCATTCTCAGGCCTAAGGATCGCTAAGAGTATTTTTTGAAATGTAAGCCCCTCCTTTCTTCATCTAATAGTGATACCTGCAAGATTCTTTTTAGTAAAGCCAAAAGCAGTAGCTGTTGCCAAGAAAATATCCCACATTTGTTTCTAATCCAGGTGGTTGAAGCTTGAGTTGTGCTGAAACACAATAGCAGTTTATGTGCTGGAAAGCGCCCCTATCTGTCAAAACATGTTAGACACTGCATCAAGAGCAAGCTGCTTAAATTGTCACAGTGAATTTCTTAGCTATTTGCAAACTGTTTGGAAGTATGAAGGGAAAAAGCCTAAACAATTCATAAAATTTATAAAATTGTTTCAGCATATTGGAAGTATAGCAATTTTTAAAATTGTGTCTTATTAAAGCCCATTAATATACTAAATTGAAGATATCTGGACTCTCAATCATCAGAGGACTAAAGCTGGGCTAGGTAGCCATAGATGACCATTTTAAGTCATCTTCCTATAGTAATGAATTTGGGAAGAAATCTAAGATAGCGGTGTAAACCAAAAATAAAATTCTAGAGCCTCCTAACCATCTGATTGAACTTTCTTCTTGGCCAGGGTCATTTTAAAATTTAACCTGAGATCGTTTCAGGCCATGATGGGAAATGACGGTCAGACATGCCTCTATACCTCTCTAGCATTAACATCAACAGACACCTTTAAGTCTGATAAGAAACATTTTACAACTTAATTTCTCTGAAGCCTACTACTGGAAAGCTTCCTCTGCAAATAAGAACTTTGGTCTCCACAACCTCTTATCATAACCCAGACACTACTTTCTACTGATCTCAGGTCTTTAGATAAACTCCACCAATTGTCAACCAGGAAATTTTTAGATTTACCTATAAGCTGGAAGCCCCCGCCAGCCCACTTCGAGTTGTGCCACCTTTCTGAACCAAACCAATATATTTCTTAAATGTATTTGATTGAAGCCTTATCTCTCTAAAATGTATAAAACCAAGATGCACCCCAATCAACTTGGCACATGTTCTCAGGATCTCCTGAGAGCTGTGTCACGGGCCATGCTCACCCACATTTGGCTCAGAATAAATTTCTTCAAAGATTTTACAGAGCTTGACTCTCTTTATCAACAGTGGCCATCATTCTGCCTCTGAAAAGTTGTTTCCTAAGAACAATTTCTCTTTGGTTCAACCTGTAAAAAGAGCAATATGTACCAGTTTATACTTTAAAAGATTTCCTCTTACTCCCCAATTATTTTCCTATCCAACCAGCTCTGCTCAAACAAATGGTGGGAGGAAGGTGGGGAGTTCACTCTCTTCCTACTGCACAGTACAGTCACTTTGCTTTTGTGATTTCTTGTATGTGTTAAAATCTGGGTAAAAAGCTAATTAAGACCAAAGAACATTAACAGAAGTGTCTTTTATGAGCAATTTATTTTTGCCTCTGTAGAGGAAGGAAAAATGGCTTCCCTCTAACCTTCCATGTTCTTTGGCTGCACTACAAATTAAATTAACATAAAGCAGATTAACAGGAGAAAAAGCATCTAATTACACATATATGCAAGGAAGTGCATGAAACATGAGACTCAAGGAAGGGTCAGATGATTGAAGTTTACGCAGTGTCCTGAGCTACAGAAAAGAATAAGAGTTTGGGTTTTCTAGCGGGTAGAGCTGATGATACAAGGTGTGAGAAAGTGAGGGGAAGAAACGTATGGTGACTAAAAGTTGTCCTGTTATGTAAACAATAAATATCTTGGGTAATAAAAGTTGTCTGGAATGGCTCTCTTCCTGATACAGATACTTTACTAATGTAGATTTTCCTTATAATTGTAAATTTCCATTACAAAAAAAAAGCAGCTTTCAGAGCTACTCCTGTGTCTGCAGTTTCTCATAATAACCAGCTCAAAATATGCCAAAGAAATGTATTTTAGGGGGCATATCTGGTGTCCTACAGTCATATTTTGGCGTGGTGTGTCCTGAATCTCATCTTGTCCAATGCAGATTCTAGATCTGAAATTAGAAGTTCTAATTGTGGTTTCCTGGCTTTTTGAAGTATTACAAAGTTCAACGCCTCAGTTTATCTCTAAAGCAAAGATGAAAATATTTGTGTGTTCTCTAATTTACATAGCAGCAGAAAAGAAAATATCTGTATAGTGCATTTCTTAAATCTCTTTAGAAGAAAAGGGTAAGTTTTGCAAATTTTTGTCATAATTTTATTAGACAAAAGAATAAAACAGGCTCCGTTTGTTTCAATTTTGATATTTGCAGTTTAAGTTTAAATTGAAAAGACAAGAGGCTCCGAAACTATTAATTATTCAAATGTCAAATGCTGATCAAGTCATTGGATATCTTTTGTGCATGTATGTCTGGTTGCAGAGAGAAGCAGTTTGCAGGTGTATGTGTGCGTGTGTATGTTTTAACTCTGAGTGGCACTAAGAACTAAGGCCATGTGGGAGGAACCACATGACAGCATTTGCACTGTAATTCTTCAGTATCCAGTATCCAGGTGTTGCTCAAGTTGCTATCTCCCTTATGCTGTAACATGACCCTGTAGCCTATAACTTGTTTTATTTATTGTTTTTACTTAGTTATGCCTCCAGGTGTATTCTGTGTGGCTAGTTTCTAATCTAGATCACTAAACAAACAAATCATTCTATGAGATACAATTGCAGTTCTAAGGTGGTAAAAACAAGGCAGAGGCCAGGTTTTATATTCATCTTGTATTCCCTTCCAACACCTAGTTCAATGCTTGGCACTCAATAAATGTTTGCTGAAAGGAAATTAAATACTAAACAGAGATAGAGATTGTGAGTTTAGAAGGGAGGGTGGTAGTTGTTGGCATTGTGGATAGGGGCCCAGAATCCCAACTAGGAAAATTGCTTTTGTGTTCATTCAATTTCTGTTTGTGAGACTGCAGATTGACTGATAGACAATTTAGTAGCAGAATGTAACCAAAGAGAGATCTTTTTTGCTTGTTTTCCATTTAACAGAAACCAAAAACCACTGAGACTTCCCTGAAAGATCCTGATCACAAGATTTCAGAACAAAGAAGTTATGACACAGTGTCTTCTTCCTGTGAGTCCCAAACCCCCGATATTTATCAAAGCTATACCTTCCAAATCTCCTCCACCCCTACTGCCATTACTTTTTTAAAGTGCTAATCACACTATCATCTGTCCCCTTCCAACAAAAAAAAGAAAACCAGAAAAAAGAGTCCAGGATTGCTAATCTATATAAAAGTCCTAAACAAAGCAAATACGGCTAATACCATGTCTTATTAAATTGAACCCTCACTTACTGGAGTGATAAAAGGTGATAAGATCTATGGGACTGAATCCATTTTACACACCACTATTCAGACTAATCCTCCCCGTGGTTCAGGGAACAAAGAGTTCTGCCATGGGGAAAACAGGGGTCCTGCTTTTTATTCCCTAACTCTCCTGTTCTTGCTGGTCAAAGCAAAAGCCATTAATCTAATACTCTGCACTTGTATTCAGAGCCACAGCATCTTAAAGCAATTGGTGGTCTGGCCAACTAGCTATTAAAAAACAAATAGTCTTTCTAGCTTTAGAATCTTCTCGTATAGGCAGAGTAACCACAGAGAAATCATCAGCAAAAGGTAATAACTGGGCTGAGAGAACTATTTTCAACCTATGGTTTAGTCTTGAATTTAACTAAAGCTCTTCAAAGAGATTAAATACTTTCAAATGTGAATTTTTTTCTCTTAGGAGAGAAAATTTTAAATTCCAATTACTATTGTATTAACTTGGTAGACATTTGATTCTTTCCAAAAGATTTACAATAAATTCATCTACTAAAGCAAAGTCAAAACTTTTTTTCCTAATATTGAATAGTGATCAATATGTAGAAAAGAATACAATTAGAACTCTATACAGGAAACTATCAGAAGTTGTTTTAAACTACAAGTTTTCAAAAAACTACTTCATTATTGTATAACTTTCTAAGATTTTTCAACTTTTGTGATGACCATTCTCTTGTAACTTACTCTTCAGCTACCTGATTCCTAAGATTAAGTATAATGAAACACGAATTGATCTTTTCTTAGTGAACAGGTATTGTGATGTATTAAAGGTGTCATTATAGAGGCAGAGGCAGCAGAACATGAAGCAATATAAGGTAGATCAGAATACCATGGGGTACTGACCCCAAAAGAGAACCAAGAACTCAGTATCTTTGTTTCTATTGCTTTATTAATACGTAATTATGTACTCTCAACTTTTAAAGTTGCATGTAGAATTGAAGTATGAGTTCTTCACAGCTGAAGAAAGAATAAAAGAGAAAGCTAGAGTGAGATAGAGACAGAAATAGTGAGAGGGAGAGAGAGAAGAAGAAAAAATTTATATAGTATCTATTATTTAGTAAAAGATAGTTTCTGAAAGATAATTTTGGACCATTTAGTGAAAGACCACCCTGTCTAGGAGAAAATGTTTATTTATGAGAGAAATAAAATAAAAAGAAATAATAATAAGAGGAAGAAAAGTAGACTGGAGCCAGATCAGACTAAGATTTTTTTTTTTTTTTTTTTTTTTGAGATGGAGTGTCACTCTGTTGCCCAGGCTGGAGTGCAGTGGCAGGATCTCAGCTCACTGTAACCTCCAACTCCCGGGTTCAAGCAGTTCTCTGCCTCAGCCTCCCGAGTAGCTGGGATTACAGGTGCCCACCCCCAGGCCTGGATAATTTTTGTATTTTTATTAGAGACGGGGTTTCACCATCTTGGCCAGGCTGGTCTTGAACTCCTAATGTAGTGATTCACCCGCCTCAGCCTCCCAAAGTGCTGGGATTACAGGCGTGAGCTACAGCTCTGGGCCTAAGATATTTTTTTAAAGGGTAGAAGGAAGGAAGGAATTCTAACAGTAGACTAATGTTTATGAACAAGGCTATAAGGATTTAAAGCGGAATTTAAACTTAACTTGAAAGACAGGAATAATTTAAAAGAAAGGAATAATTTCAGGGAAAAAAATACTACAAAAAGAATTTATCAGATTTTGGGTAGAAGAATAGCTTGAACCTGGGAGGCAGAGGTTGCAGTGAGCTGAGATCATGCCACTGTACTCCAGCCTGGGCTACAGAGCAAGGCTCCGTCTCAAAAAAATATGTATCAGATTTTAGAATTGATTAGAATTCTGGAAGGACAAAAGGTAAACACTGAACAGTCATAGTAAAGCGTCAAGATGGAAAATGGTGATGGCATTGCAGGGAAGATAAAAATCCAACATCTGAGTGGAGATATTCAACACCCAAGTAGAGGTTGGAGAAAGATCAAAGTCATAACTACAAAACTGGGTATTGCCCTCCTAGAAGTGAGAAGCCACACCCACTAAGGTAGTGAATATAAACAATACAGCAGAGACATAAGGGTTCGGATTCCATAACTGATAATTTTGTTTCTTCCATTCTCAGTCACTTCCATTTATGCTCCTTGGCACTCACTGTTCAAACATTTCCTGAACAATCATTTGCCAGAGTCTGTGCAGCTTTGGAAAAAGATTGGTGAGATAGGAATGGTCCCAGTTCTCAAAGAGTTAGTATAAAATGTTGAGTGTTTGTGTAATAGTGGGTGAGTGTATAGAGCAGGAAGAATTACAACAGTTTAATGTTACTGGAGATTTGAGTCAGAAAGTGGAAGCATACTTAAGGTGTTAGACTAAATCATGAAGGGTTTCATATGCCCTGTTAAGAAATTTAAACTATATCCTCTGAAATAGATATATCACTGCAGCTTTCATACAGGATGAATTAGAAGAGGGCAAGATAGGAGTAAGGAAATCAGGTAAGAGATGAGAGCTTAAACTAAAATAGCAGCAATGACAAGGAGGATAGCAGGCGGTAATGTATCCAGGAAATATGTAAAAGGTAAAATTTATAAAAATTGAAGAGTAAGTTGAAGACGACTACAGATGTCTAGGTTAGATGACTATTTACATGTCCATGTGATTAGCTAAGTTAAAGAATTAGGGAAATGAAGCAGGTTAGATTGGTGTTTTGTTAGGATGGTGGGGCCAAAACCTGCCAGGTTCAATCTTGGTCATCCTGACATTTATGTAACCTTTGGAAATCAAGTTAATCATTTAATAAATGGTTAAAACGCAGGTAAGAAGCAGAGCTGGATTTGTAAACCATCAGTAAACAAATGATGGATAAACATCAAATTCAAAGAATATAATTTCAGGGAGAATTTAATTTTCTACTTTACAGGTGAGATACGCTTAATTTCTCTTTATTCATGAGCCTACGTTGCTTTGGGTCTCAAGACTAAAAAACAGCAAGTTTATTTTTATTTTGAAAATACCATAGTAAATGTAGAATAAATGAAATTCCACAGAGTGACTGTCATATAAGAAGAGAAGGGTGAAGACAGGAACATGGAAACACCAACATTTACAGGGTATCTACACAAGAACAGACTAGAGCGAGGGAAAGAAGAAACATCAGACAACTAGAAGTGGTTTTTAACTATTTTTAAATTCCCAAAATGATTAATGATACTTTCTTTGCCACACTTCTTTATCTTCCAGACTGATTTTTTTAAAAATATAAGTCACTATACCACATGCTATAATGCTTAGGTGTAAAAAACCCTAGAAAACAAAAGTTGAATGATGTAGATTTATTTGTGCTAATTCTCATTGCATCTCTCCATGATGAATCCAGTTAACAATTTTTTAATGGCATAAATTATGTGATTTTGCTAGTTTCCCTCCAAGAGAACTCAACATAGAACTCAGGCACTACAGGCATTATGCAAAGTACGTAGATGACTCTTACACTGCTGTCTGGGGATAAGTTATTAAATATTTATTAAAGACTAATACCCATGCTGAGACAACTTACCCATGGCACATTCCCCTACCCTACAGAGAATTAGTCTAAGGAAGGCGTGTATGGCATCTCCTAAATAGCATCCAGAGATAAACTATACAGTCATAGAGTTTTTTTCCTAGAAGTGATCTGCAAACAAAATTCCTTATTTTTATAAATATTTTCATTGATATTTATTCAGGTATGTTGAATATAAATGTTAAAAGACAAGGGTATGGATCATTTGTCAGAATTTATTATGATTTCTAGTATGCGAATTCCTAGATTTACTAGGGTAGAAGATTTTAGACTGAATTCCAAGTTCATACTTAATTCATCATTGTCACTCCTACCTAATGTCTGGCACAGTGTTTTATAAATGGTAGGCACTCCACCACATATTATATAGAATTTATTGAATTATTTTCAGACAGAATATTACCTCTATCTTTTTATTGTTGGTTTGGAAAATTCAGATTATAAATTTTATAACTCTCTCACTATATTTTTGACTGGGGGCCTCTTACTGACCCCAGTGGTTTTTCAGCTATGCAGTTGACCTGCAGTCTTTAGCTGTGTACCTTTCCTGGTCTCCAAAACAAACAATCTATGAATAATCTGCATTATTTTATTACTGAAAAGAAAAATTGTTTGTATTTTCTCCTAATCTTTGTGATAACACTTTTTTCTTTCTGTATCATTTTTTTTCTGTTCATCAACACCCACATTCATCTAAGAATCTTTTTACACATTAATTATCTAATCTTGACTTTTTGATATTGCATTTTTACAAAAAGACTTCATAAATCATTTTTAAGTGATGGTAGTTATAAGATAAATTTAATTCAATTGACAACAACCCACAGTTTAGTGGAGGTAGGGCAATATACTACTGCTACTTTTTTGTTCTAGTGTTTCATGATAGAATGAAAAAGAGTAGAGAATGTAATAAAGAGAGATTGACAAGCTCATGAGCTCATGAGATATTCAGAAGGAAAAAAATAAAAGGTGAAATTTTCAGAGATGACAAGGAAAAGAGCTCAAATGCTATTGAAAATTAGCCCACATGCCATTTTTTAATATATGTGCTTAAGGTCCTATTTTCAAAGCTATTTTATGCAC
The DNA here is from genome assembly GCF_000001405.40 of Homo sapiens. Taxonomy (NCBI): domain Eukaryota; kingdom Metazoa; phylum Chordata; class Mammalia; order Primates; family Hominidae; genus Homo; species Homo sapiens. The sequence continues at coordinate 109,895,563 of NC_000003.12, read as the reverse complement.
ATTTTCTCATTCTGGCTCCTAACAGTCCAATGTTATACAAAATAGAATAATGCAGCCTGATTTTAAACACCTGTTAATATGTAATTACATATTTCTGTAATTAAATTTTTTACATATAAAAGTTATTTTGCTTGGTTTGAAGAATTAAGAATTTGCTCTGGCTTAAGTTCTAGGTATATCACAGAAGAATATATCTAGGTCAGGCCTGGTAAATATTTGGCTGTCATTGACTATTTGAAGATTAGTTGCAAATGACATTTTTGCTGAAGATATAAAGCTAGTATAAGTTTTAAGACATTTTCGTGATGGCATTTAGGGAAAGGCTAACATTATCTTTGTTTTTGACCTACAGATCTTTATTTGCATTAGGGACCTACAGATCTTTATTTGCATTAGGAACCTAATGATGGAAAGAGAAAGAGAGCACAAAGCAAATAACTTCATTTGGAGTTCCTCTGCAATCCAATCAAAGTCTTATTTTTCAAATCAGCATAGATTTGTTTTAAGCCAAGAAAATCTCTATCGATATTTATCAAAACAGAACAGCTAAAATAACATATTTTATGAGATAATGTAAAAAATGCTTGGAGTATGCGGAGAACATTTTGTGAATTTGAGAAGGAATGTTAGCTGTTTTGAACTAAAATAAATTGAGAACTGAAATAATCCTGTTTCTAAATTGTCCACTGTTTGTCAAGCTACAATCTTGGTACAATGTTTCTTGTTTAAAAAAATGGCTGCAAATGGATCTATTTATAAAAATTTAACTGAAACATATAGTCATTTATATATTTTATTCTTTCAAATAATGTTTAGGAATAATACTTGGATTCTTTCAAATAATGTTTAGGAATAACACTTGGATTCTCTATGGCCAAGTATTAAAATACAAAATGGAGAATAATTTTTTGCATTTTTATATTTTATAAGTAGTAAAACCAAAACTGACAAGTTAAATTTTGGTGGCAGCCACATAACAAGTCATTCCTCGTGCCAGAAAATTTAGTGCACCAAACTTTTATTTCTTTTCCTCTAGGGGAATTTACTAGAAACATGTTTCTTCAGAAGCAGAAGAGATTGTCAAAAAATTGCCTTGGAATTACCGTCATGTCTTCACTATATAGAGGTATCTCTGAAGAGCATGTTTGGTATGGAGGAGTAAGAAAGTAACAGACAGTAGCTGATTCTTTATATTACTTGGAGCCTAAGAGACATCATGAAAAATTTCTTTTAGGTCTGCATTGACAAGTCAATCCTAAGCCAAAAGAACAAAGCTGGAGGCATCATGCTACCTGACTTCTAACTATACTACAAGGTTACAGTAACCAAAACAGCATGGTACTGGTACCAAAACAGAGATATAGACCAATGGAACAGAACAGAGGCCTCAGAAATAATACCACACATCTACAACTACCTGATCTTTCACAAACCTGGCAAAAACAAGAAATGGGGAAAGGATTCCCTATTTAATAAATGGTGCTGGGGAAACTGGCTAGCCATATGTAGAAAGCTGAAACTGGATCCCTTCCTTACACCGTATACAAAAATTAATTCAAGATAGATTAAAGACTTAAATGTTAGACCTAAAACCATAAAAACCCTAGAAGAAAACCTAGGCAATACCATTCAGGACATAGGCATGGGCAAGGACTTCATGTCTAAAACACCAAAAGCAATGGCAACAAAAGCCAAAATTGACAAATGGGATCTAATTAAACTAAAGAGCTTCTGCACAGCAAGAGAAACTACCATCAGAGTGAACAGGCAACCTACAGAATGGGAGAAAATTTTTGCAATCTACTCATCTGACAAAGGGCTAATATCCAGAATCTATAATGAACTCAAACAGATTTACAAGAAAAAAACAACCCCATCAACAAGTGGGCAAAGGATATGAACAGACACTTCTCAAAAGAAGACATTTATGCAGCCAAAAGACATATGAAAAAATGCTCACCATCACTGGCCATCAGAGAAATGCAAATCAAAACCACAATGTGATATCATCTCACACCAGTTAGAATGGCGATCATTAAAAAGTCAGGAAACAACAGGTGCTGGAGAGGATGTGGAGAAATAGGAACACTTTTACACTGTTGGTGGGACTGTAAACTAGTTCGACCATTGTGGAAGACAGTGTGGAGATTCCTCAGGGATCTAGAACTAGAAATACCATTTGACCCAGCCATCCCATTACTGGGTATATACCCAAAGGAATATAAATCATGCTACTATAAAGACACATGCACATGTATGTTTATTGTGGCACTATTCACAATAGCAAAGACTTGGAACCAACCCAAATGTCCAACAATGATAGACTGGATTAAGAAAATGTGGCACATATACACCATGGAATACTATGCAACCATAAAAAATGATGAGTTCATGTCCTTTGTAGGGACATGGATGAAGCTGGAAACCATCATTCTCAGCAAACTATCGCAAGGACAAAAAACCAAACACCGCATGTTCTCACTGATAGGTGGGAATTGAAGAATGAGAACACCTGGACACAGGAAGGGGAACATCACACACTGGGGCCTGTTGTGGGGTGGGGGGAGGGGGGAAGGATAGCACTAGGAGATATACCTAATGCTAAATGATGAGTTAATGGGTGCAGCACACCAACATGGCACATGTATACTTATGTAACAAACCTGCCCTTTGTGCACATGTACCCTAGAACTTAAAGTGTAATAAAATATATGTATATAAAAAAATAAAAAAGAAAAATTTCTTTTAGACAGCAGCTGCTGTTGGTTATTGGCGTGCATCATAGCAGTAGTATTAGTAATGCCCACATGAACAATTTCACCTATTGTACTTCCTTCTGATATGATAGATAATTAATAGGCAACACATTGTGAAAATTCAAATCTGTTGATTGTCTATCTCCTGGCTATTTCTTACAGGTTGTTTCAGATTTTACTCTCCAACTAAATGACTATTTAACAGAAAGAAAGGAAAAGAAGAAAAGGAAAGGAAAGGAAAGGAAAGGTTTTTTAAAAACTATTAAATAATGTTTCTCTTTCTATTTAGAGTGGGTGAAACAAACGTGTTTCAGACATCTAGACAATTGAGCTGTAGCCACAATGGAAATTGTCATCAGTTGATAGAATCTCAGAAATGAAAAAAAAGTACAAAGGAATGGGGTAAAGAAAAAGTGCTGTAATCACTGGAAGAAGAAAATGAGCCCTAACAAGGATTGGCAAGAGCAAAAATTGTAATGGGAGAAAGTCAAGTAGTCATTCTTTTTCTCTTTTAACAAATATGTATTAAGCACATCCTATATTCCAGACACTGTACATACATTAAGGTATGGCCAAACACCGTGGCTCATGCCTGTAATTCCAGCACTTTGGAAGGCTGAAGTGAACAGATCACTTGAGGCCAGGAGTTCGAGACCAACCTGGCAAACATGACAAAACCCCATCTCTACTAAAAGTCCAAAAATTAGCCAGGCATGGTGCTGTACACCTGTAGTCCCAGCTATTCAGGAGGCTAGGGCACGAGAATTGCTTGAACCCAGTAGGCAGAGGTTGCAGTGAGCCTGGATCACCACTGCACTCCAGCCTGGGTGACAGCACCAGACTCTGTCTCAGAAAAAAAAGGATAATAATAATACAGAAGTGAACTATACATTCATTTCGTTGTCCTCAAAATGAGAAAAATTTGTCCACTCTCATCACTTCTATTAAATATAGTAGTGGCCCTAGTCAGAGAAATTAAGGAAGAAAAAGAAATAAAAGGGATCCAAACCAGAAATGAAGAAATAGAATTATCTCTGCTTGCAAATAAGAGCTCATGTATAGAAAGCCCTAAAGACTCTACTAGACAACTGTTAGAACTCATAAATTCAGTGAAGTTGCAATATTAAAATAAGTCAATATACAAAAATTAGTAGCATTTCTATACACTAACAAACTATCTAAAAACAAAAACTTTTAAATTCAATTAAAAATAGAATGTAAATGAATAAAATAATTAGGAATAAATTTACCAAAGAGATGATTTGTACATTGAAAACTGTAAGAAATCCATGAAAGAAATTGAAGAAGATGCTAATAAATGGAAAGATACTTCATCATCATAGATTGGAAAAATTATTATTGCCAAAATACCCAGACTACCTAAAGCAATCTATAATCAAAGTGCAAGCCCTATCAAATTTATATCTATGTGATATTTTTTATATACATAGAAAAAACAATCCTAAAGTTTATATGGAACCACAAAAGACAATGAATAGCCAAAGCAATGTTGTGCAAAAGAGCAAAAATGGAGACATCACACTACCTAGCTTCAAAATATACTGCAAAGCTATAGTACTCAAAACAGCATGGTACTGGAATAAAAACAGACACATAGACTAATGGAACAGAATAGAGATCCCAAAAATAATCCACTGATTTATGGTGAACTGATTTTTGACAAAGATGCTGAGAACATACTATGGGAAAAGATAATCTCTTCAATAAATGGTGTTAGGAAAACTGGATCTCTATACACAGAAAAAAGAAACTGGACCCCAATCTCATGCCATACATAAAAATCAACTCAGAATGGATTAAAGACTTAATAAAGTAAAACCTGAAACTGTAAAGCTACTAAAAGAAAAAACAGAGAATATGGTTCTTCACATTGATCTGGGCAAAGATTTTTTGGATATGACCTCAAAATCACAGTCAATAAACAAAAAATAGGCAAGTAAGATTGCTTGAAACTCAAAAGGTTTTGCACAGTAAGGAAACAATCAACAGAATAAAGTTACAATCTACAAAATGAGAGAAAATATCTATAATCCATACATCTGATAATGGTTTAATATCTAAAAATATATAAAAAACTCAAACAACTTGGTAACAAGAAAACAATCTGATTTTTAAAAGGTTCAAGAAATAGATATTTCTCAAAAGAAGATATACAAATGACAACATGTGTATGAAAAAATGTTGAACATCACTAATCATCAGAGAAATGCAAATTAAAACCACAATGAGATATCACTTCACTCCTGTTAGAATGGCTATTATCAAAAAGACAAATGATAAAATGTATTGCCAAGGATGTGGAGAAAAGGGAACCCTGGTGCACTGTTGGTGGAAATGTAAATTGGTTCAGCCGCTATGGAAACAGTACAGACTTCTTCAAAAATATTTAAGAATGTAACTACCATATATGTAATCCAGTAATTGTACTTCAAAAGCCATGAAACTATCTCAAAAAGATATATACACTCCTATCTTAATTGCAGCATTATTCATAAATGTTAAGATATGGAATCAATGTAAGAGTCCATTGACTAATAAAAAGGTAAAGAAAATTGTGTGTGTTTGTGTGTGTGTACATAAGATAGTAGTCAGTCTTATAAAAGAAGAAAATCATGTAATTTGCATGATTAAATCTAGAAGACATAAGCGAGACACAGAAAGACAAATACAACATGATCTCACTTATATGTGGAGCCTAAAAGAGTCTAACTCATAGAAGCGAAGAATAGAATGGTGGGTTCCAGGGGATAGGGGGTGGAGGGTAGAAGGGGAATGGAAAGATGGTCAAAAGGTACAAACTTTCAGTTAGGATGAATAAGTTCTGGAGATCTGTATTACAGCATGGTAACCATAGTTAATAATAATATAATTTATGATTGAAAATTGTTAAGGGAGTGGATATTAAATGTTCTCACCACACACACATGCACAAATGTTAGCTATGTGAAGTGATAAATATGCCAATTAGCTTGATTGTGGTAATCATTTCACAATTTATACATCAATCAAAACACCACATTGTACACTGTAAATACATACATTCACTTGTCAATTATACCTCAATAAAGAAAAAAACTGAAGACGTAATAATAAAGTTGTCCTCTGCTATCAATAAAAATAAAAATTAGGGTCAAAAGCAGTGGCTCACGCCTGTAATACTAGGGCTTTGGGCGTCCAAGGCAGGCAGATCACCTGAAGTCAGGAGTTCGAGACCAGCCTGACCTACATGCACAAACCCTGTCTCTACTAAAAATACAAAATTAGCCGGGTGTGGTGGCACATGCCTGTAATCCCAGCTACTTGGGAGGCTGAGGCAGGAAAATCACTTGAACTTGGGAGACGGAAGTTGTGGTGAGCCAAGATTGCACCATTGCACTCCAGCCTGGGCAACAAGAGCAAAACTAGGTCTCAAAAAAATAAACAAATAAAATAAAATTTAAATTTAAAAAAAAATTAAAAATAAATAAAAATTTTAAAAACTGTCCTCATAAAGTTACAATCTAATGAGTAAACTGGTAAATAAGTAGATATATATATATAAACACAATATATTATCAGGCACTATAAGTGCTATGAATAAAAACAGATTAAGGGTTTAGAGAATGACTGAGGCATATTTTAAGTGTGATGATGAAAAAGACCTTTTTGAGGATATGAATGAAATGAATAAAATGAGGAAGGAGCTATGCAAAGATATATGGCAAGAGCACTTCAAGAATAGAAAAGAGCAATTCTACTGTGCTAAGGCAGGAAGGGGCGTGGAGTGTCCATTGAGTAGCAAGACTACTGTGACTAGCACAGAGAACCACAAGGTGGAGGTTATAAACTGTAACACCAAAGTCAGAGACAAAGACTTTAATTCTGTGATGGAAATCCACTGGAAAATTTTGAGTAGCGGGAGAGATAAGTTGACCATAATGACATTATGTATTTTCTGACTGCAGAATGCATTTTTACAATGGCAACGGTGGAGCAGGGAAACCAGTTAGGTAGATATTGCAATCAGGGGGAGAAATAATTACTAGAACTAGAAAGGTGATGATGGAGCTGCACTGAGACCTGGTGGGATGCCGGCTATAGGTTGGAGGTAGAACACTTTTCTGAATATGTCACATTTAAATTACACTAATAACAATGAGGATTAACATGGGAGATATTCCTATGTAATTGCTTATCTTCCCTTCCTTTTCCACCTGGGCACACATAAAGTCTATAGCTAGATGATATTTCCCAATTTCCCTTGCAGTTAGGTAGGGTCATGTGACTTAATACTGGCCAATGGAATGGCCAGAATACAGCATTGATATACTTCTAGCCTTAGCTTCTAAAATAATTCCCATGTAGTTTTCCATGTGTTATCACATCTTCTTACCTACTAGAGGTTACAAAGGATACACTCAAGAACTCAAAAAGAGGGGAGGAGATGGATTCTATGTAATTCTGGTAATAATAGAAATAAACATTTTTATAGAGACTGTTAAGTGGGTTTTATGTTCACATACAGTGACTCATTTTATAATTCTGACTGTACTATAAAGTAGCATTATTATCCTCATTTTAAAGAGGAAGTGAAAACTTCTGGTAATCCACTGAATATATAAGCAGAAGGGTATGTGATCATAATGGGTTAACAATTGTTAGACATGGGGTTTAAATAGAAAGCAGTGGCTTGGAGCTTGGACCATGGAGTCACAAAGATTTGAGTTCCAATTCTGGCTCTGCTAATAACCAGGAGGATGATCTGCAAATCACTGAACTTCTCTGGTTCTTAGGTTTTTTGTATCTGTGAAGTGACGACAATAGTATCTACATGTTATTGTAGTTATCCTGTAGTCGTAAGGATAGAATACTCTTTAAGCATACTGTGTATTTGCCAAAATTGTTTTTTAAATGAAAACTGGTATTATTCTTGTTGTTTTACAGAATGGAGATGGCTTTAAGGCCAAAGCAGAAGCTCTGATAACATTTAGGCCAAAATGGCAGGGCTAAAAGACCATCAGGTTATATATCCCTCAAAAGAACCCTGGCACATAGAAAAGAATCAGTTCAAAACGTAATATAGACCAGATGGGGTCTTCAGGAACCAAGAATATGCTTTCATATGTCAGTGTAACCCTTACCTATTTTTGCCACTTGGGGAAGAAAAGATTGTCACTATTTGGTTTTGCCTAAAAGAAGATTCTGAGACAAGGACTTACCTTTTTTAGGAGATAACCTCAGGAAGCAGAAGTGAAAGTGAGAAAGGAATGGAAAGAAACCCAGTATAGTATGGGTTAATGAGTTGGTTACCACTGTGGGCAAATCAACTCAGTCCCACTGAGAGGCCTCTGGAGAACTGTGTAGAATGCAACTCAGAATTATCTATTGGCAGGACAGAGTCTGGGACAGTCATCTTTCCCCTTATTTGCTGGGAGTTGCCACGCAGACTTTAACATCGCCTCCCAAGCCTTCCACCTCAGCACACTCAGACTGCCCTATGTTTGGGTCCAGCAACTTAAACAGGCATCGTAAAATGTTCTGTGGTAGAAAAATGGAGAAAGAAGGCAGGCACGAACTTGGAATATAATTCTGTCAGTGTGCAAAGGAGCTGTCTGCCAGAACCGCAACTGATGTCAGAGGTGGGCTATGGAATGGGTTTTAATATATCAAAAAAAAAAATAATGTGGAAAATCAGTTCCCCCAGGTTCATTTGTTTATGTGTGCCTTTCTGTACCCCGTATCTATAATCTGTGAAAGGTAGTGGGACTCAATGAATTGGATCCAAGAAACAAGTTATTCTCTCGGGTCTTGTTTTCTAAACACTTTTCCACAAGAAATGCTACCATATCAGAAAGATTTCCTAGTCACATATATTTTGGAAATCTTGGCTTTAAAAGTGTTAAACAAATAGCTTTCATCTAGAAATGTTCTCATCCTTTGGTATGGGAAAATCTACAATGAATATATAAGGAGATACAGTATTTGATGTTTCTAAATTTATTTAAGTACTGATTACTTTTTCATGATACACTATTGACGTTTCCCAGAAAAGGGCTTTAGAGAACTTACTTGAGGAAGTATTCAATATAACTATACTGTTGATAGAATTATTAAAAAGGTCACCTTCTTTGTGATATAAAAGGAATAAAGTTCTGAGAGACTCCTAACCAATTATTAAGCTTGATAAAAGTATTCTTTGAAAATATAGGCTTGAGGTATATGACCACCTCCAGAGAGAATACTTTTCTGCTTTCATGTTTATTTTTTACTTTGGCATCATAAGAGTGGAAAAGGGGTACACAGATGCTACTACTTTATTCTTACCATCTCTTTGCTCTCCCATTTAGGGTTTAACTCAACATCCCAGCCAAGGGTGCCCAAATCTTGACCTCCCCAGAATCTCTTGAAGTGTGTAGGGATCAGACTAGCTTTACCTGCAGGAATCGAATTATCTTTGTAACACGTTTTAAATAAATATAATAAAGATAAAAATGATACAAAATAGAAAGTGACACACAACTGCAAAAAAAAAAAAAAAAAAGGAAGGCTCTAACAGTGAGTCTAAGAGGACCATAAATGTGAATCAGCTTGGGAAACTGAAAATTAATACAATGAAGAAAAAAGTAGATTAAGATGCTAAGTTTCAAATGTCAGAAAAAACTTAGAGATAAGTAAAATTAAAAAGAAAATTATATGCAGCAGAGGGATAGTGGAAACAGTATTCAGCATGATATAAAAGTTCTTTGCCAAGGTTACTTTGTCCACTGTACAAGGAATAATGAAATGAGAAACATTTGTATAACTGAATACTCTATTTTAATGATCAAGCAAACTTTCGCAAGCTGACAGATATGACCACATGGAATAGTCATGTATCTTAAACCCATGTGTCCACAGAAAACATTTGTCAATAACATCAATTCTGATAGACAGATCATTTATCATTTGAAGCAATCAATGTGCACTACAAAGGTTATTAGCAAGCTGTAGCTTCATAATAAGGAGAAAAAAGTGTAGCAAAGCATATTCTCTAAAACCTGGTTAAAGAACAGGTCAAGAAAGAACATTGGAAATCTAAAAATAAAGAACAACTTCTGGAAGTCTTTCAATGAGAAGCAAGATTTTTTAAAAAATTGTCTGGTCAAATGAGAGCCCTTTGATGAGGACTACTGAAGACAAAGCTTATCATTATTATAATCCTCCATCTGGAATACTATTCCTTTCTGGGCTTACAATGGACCAGCATCTTTCAGCTTAGGTGCTGTCTTCTCTGCAGAAACTCCCCCACCCTTCTCAGCTGAGATAAGCATGGCTTTCTCACTGCTCTCCCAGAAGTCTGTTTCTTCTGCTACAGTACTTAACATATTACTTGTTTTCTCTCTATAATATCAACTAGTTAAAGGCAGAGTTTATGACTTTTCACATTCTCCATCCCTGGCAATCAATAGAGAATTAATGCTCTTAGTAGGTACTTCACAAATAATTAATAATAGTGTAAAAGAATGAATTAAGATGGTATTCAGCAGTCACTGAATTACAATTAGACTTTGGAGGACATATGAGAGATATTAGCTTTTCAAATAGAATTCAGTTATGCAAATAAAAATCCAAATTTTGGTTTTGACCTAGGCAGATAAAATGATTTTTCTTTGTTTTTTCACTTTAAATACCACAAATATTTGAAATTATTAAGTGTAGTTTTAAAGTAAATTTTTGTCCTTTTCATAGTTTGTAAAAATTCATGTTTTATTTGGCTATGTTAAATAAAGCTATATTAATTGAAAGCTTAAATTAAAAATACAGTATTTTAACATTTATTTTTTCAATTTGCTATATTTCTTTTAATAGCCTGTCAATGTGGTTAAGCAGCGTCCCCACTCAAATCTTATCTTGAATTCCCCCATGTTGTGGGAGGGACCTGGTGGGAGGTAATTGAATCACAGGGGCAGGTCTTTCCTGTGCTGTTCTCATGATAGTGAGTAAGTCTCATGAGATATTATGATTACATAAGGGAGAGTTTCCCCACACAAGTTCTCTTCTTTCACCTTCCTTTCACCTTCCACCATGATTGTGAGACATCCTCAGCCACATGAAACTATAAATCCTTTAAACCTTTTTTCCCTCCCAGTCTCAGGTATGTCTTTATCAGCAGTGTGAAAATGGGCGAATACAGTAAATTGGTACCACAGAGTGGGGCACTGCTGAGAAAATACACAAAAATGTGGAAGCGACTTTGGAACTGGTTATCAGTTAGAGGTTGGAACAGTCTGGAGGGCTCAGAAGAAGACAGGAAAATGTGGGAAAGTTTGGAACTCCCTAGAGACTTGTTGAATGGCTTTGACCAAAATGCTAATAATGATATGGACAATAAAATCCAGGCTGAGATGGTCTCAGATGGAGATGAGGAACTTGTTGGGAACTGGACCAAAGGTGACTCTTGTTATCTTCTAGCAAAGAGTCTTGTGGCATTTTTCTCCTGCTCTAGAGATTTGTGGAGCTTTGAACTTGAAAGAGATGATTTAGGGTATCTGGTGGAAGAAATTTCTAAGCACCAAAGGATTCAAGAGATGACTTTGGTACTGTGAAGGCATTCAGTTTTAAAAGGGGAACAGGGCATAAAAGTTTGGAAAATTTGCAGCCTGACAATGCAATAGAAAACAAAGTCTTATTTTCTGAGGACAAATTCAAGCTGGCTGCAGAAATTTGCTTAAGTAACAAGGAGCCAAATGTTAATCCCCAAGACAATGGGGAAAATGTCTCCAAGGCTTGTCAGAGGTCTTCACGCCAGCCCCTACCATCACAGGCCTGGAGGCCTAGGAGGAAAAAAGTGGTTTCATGGGCCAGGCCCAGGATCCCCGTGCTGGTGTAGCCTAGAGATTTGGTGCTCTGCGTCCCAGCTGCTCCAGGCATGGCTGAAAGGGGCCAACATAGAACTCAGGACATGGCTTCAGATGTTGCAAGCCCCAAGCCTTGGCAGCTTCCATGTGGTGTTGAGTCTGCAAGTACACAGAAGTCAAAAATTGAGGTTTGGGAACCTCCCCCTAGATTTCAGAAGATGTATTGAAACACCTGGATGTCCAGGCAGAAGTTTGCTGCAGGGGCAGGGCTCTCATGGAGAACCTCTGGTAGGGCAGCAGGGAAGGGAAATGTGGGGTCAGAGGCCCCACACAGATCCCTACTGGGGCACCACCTAGTGGAGCTGCGAGAAGAGGGCCACCATCCTCCAGACCTCAGAATGGTAGATCCACCGACAGCTTGAACCGTGTGCCTGGAAAAGCCACAAACAATAAATCCCAGCCCATGAAAGCAGCCAGAAGTGGGGCTATACCCTGCAAATCCACAGGGGCAGAGTTACCCAAGGCTGTGGGAGCCCATCTCTTGCATCAGCGTGACCTGGATGTGAGACCTGGAGTCAAAGGAGATCATTTAGGAGCTTTAAGATTTGACCACCCTGCTAGATTTCAGACTTGCATGGGGCCTGTAGCCCCTTTGTTTTGGCCAATTTTTCCCATTTAGAACAGCTGTATTTACCACATGCCTCTATCCCAGTTGTATCTAGGAAGTAACTAACTTGCTTTTGATTTTACAGACTCATAGGCAGAAGGGACTTGCCTTGTCTCAAATGAGACTATGTACTGTGGACTTTTGAGTTGATGCTGAAATGAGTTAAGATTTTGGGGAACTGTTGGGAAAGCATGATTGGTTTATAAATGCGAGGACATGAGATTTGGGAGGGGTCAGTGGTAGAATTATATGGTTTGGCTGTGTCCCCACCCAAATCTCATCTTGAATTCCCATGTGTTGTGGGAGGGACCCATTGGGAGGTAACTGAGTCATGGGGACAGGTTTTTCCTATGCTGTTCTTGTGATAGTGGATAAGTCTCATGAGATCTGATGATTATATAAGGGAGAGTTTCCCTGCACAAACTCTATTCTCTTGTCTGCCGCCATGTGATACATGCCTTTCACTTTCTGGATGATTGTGAGAAGTCCCCAGCCACATGGAACCATAAGTCCATTAAACCTTTCTTTCTTCCCCATCTCGGGTATGTCTTTATCAGCGTGTGAAAATGGACTAATACACCTGTGATATAGTAATAAATTAATTTCTGATTAAAAAACAATCTGTGTGGAAGAAGTAACACCTAGCAGTTAAGCATGTGCCTCCATCGTTTTCATGTGTACAACAAAAATAATAATCATACCTGAACATAAATGTCATGCAGGAACTAAATGAGATAATACACGGAAAACACAGTTCTCTTTCTGACATCTGTTAAGCACTCAATAAATATTAGTACCACATGACTGTTGTTATAATTAGAAAATGTTCACCACACTATTTGCAGATGTTATATTTATTACCTGGAAACCACAAAAATCTAAATACAAAATAAGAAGATTCTTGCTGAGCTGACCTTGTTCACAGGGCTCTCAAAGGCTGGTCTTATCTCACTTTTGGCCACCATCTATGTGATCTCTACTTTGTGGTCTTTCTCTATAAGTGAAAATGCTAAAGTCTGAAGCCATGCCTTCCCTCAATCTGATTCAACCTTTGTTTTAGGCCACAAAACAGTGATTTTACATTTCCCAATTTTTGCAGTGTATTTAATGATACTACATTTTTACTCAACATATTTTTCCCCTCTGTAATTTCTATGAGTATCAGGAAGAGGTAAGACATGAAGGGAATTTTGGTCAGAACCTAATGAACTGATGATGCATTGCCTACAAATACAGTCCTCTTCTCATTCCCAAACTAGATTCCCCATACTTACCTTGTTCTCCCAGAACTTCCCCTTAAGTCTGCCTTGGAAAAATGGGAGGGCACTGTTTCAAAGTGTTAGACGGTATTGAGCCAGGGCCCGGGTTACCACCAGACAGCATCTCATCAGGTTCTGTCCTCTCAGGTACAAGAAACCCTCTGGTAAATGACAGTAGAATCAACATTACCCAAACAATCCAGGATACACACAAATCCTGAATGAGGATACCACTTAGACCCTGGCTCTGAATTATCTCTATATTAGAATATTGTCTTCCATCATATTGCCATTAGAGGCATAATCTGACATAGAAAATACATTCCTCTAATATTTGAAACTTGGATTTTAAAAAAACCACTTCTGTCACAAATTAGAAATAGGATGTTAGTTTATCTATTGTTTATTTTCATTTTCTTATCTTTAAAATGAGAATATCCATTTCTGTTTAATAAATTTTACACAGTTCTCATGAGAATCAAACAAGATAATACACATGAGAATCAAATGAGATAATATACAGAGTTATAAGCCTTGAAAACTTAGGATGTCAGCATAGCAAAGTGGAAGGAACATCAAACTTCAAGTCAGAAAGACCATGGTTTGTAGTGACAACCTGCCCCTAGTTAGGGGGATAAAACTGAAACTGGGCAAGTGTCCAAGTCATGTGATCCTCATCTGTAAAAGGGGGGAATAAAATGATTTCTTCTTAGAGTTTCAAGATAATTAAATGAGAAGTACTAGAAGCATCAGGCAAAGTTCCTGGAATATGGAATGCATTCACAAGCGACTGATTGTCTTTTCCTCCATGACAAATCAAACAATTATAGGAACATTAGATATAATTTTTCATTACACAAATATAACAAGAATAAAAATACATGTTTTTTTACCTCCCATATTATGTTATATTTGATATATCATTTGAAATAGTTATGTTTTGAGGTCATTTGTTTCAAGTCTATGACTTACCTAATTATATTTTCTGGGCAAAGCAGAAGATCTAAGGTTTCTGTTTGTTTGTTTGTTTAGTATTTGTTTTTCTGTAAACATATTCAAAATAATTCTTCCCATTACAACTTTTCAGTTTCTATATTGCCTTCGATATCTGTGTTTTTCTTTTACCCATAAAACAAAATTTTTGTACATGATGCTTTAGAGACTGTACCTATAAGTTCCCAAGAATCTCCTAAGTTTGTTAAACCTCTCCTATTCTAGTTGCAAATCACATTGCTTTTCTTTTCCTTCCCTTCCTGAAATTTTAAATTTTTAAAATTGTATCTAGAGAGTCTTGACTCAGTAACAGTTAAAAGGAGGGCAAAAATTAGTATTTTATGGAACAGGACTTTTCAAACTTGAAATGTGAAATTACCCATCACAAATGCATTGTGTTTTTTTCTCATGAAGATATGCAAGGTAGAGGTCACGTTCTATCTGTCCACGTAACAAGCAACTGAAAAAAAATTTTAAGCTTTCAAAAATAATAGCATTTACACATGCTGAGTTCTGTTAAAAAGCATCATGATATCAATTTAATTCATTCTGTGAGTTTTGAAAATACATATAAAGTTTATAACAATATACGTAACTGTGTATTCAATACATACAATATGCTTTTCAAAACGTCTTTGTCTCATGGCTAACCTTGTTGCTATAATGTATGTGACACCAGGAACATTGTTTTGTCTCTCTATACAAAATCTTTTCTTATAACTTTTGGTAGCTATGCACATCAAGAAAGCAAAATATATTGAAAATAAGGTATTTGGTAGAAGGTTGTATGCCTTCCTATTCTGCAGTCTCTCTCAGTCTCCTTGAAAGTTTCATTTAAATGTCCATATTAATGTTGTTTATGCGTAGGCATCATTTTCAATTTAAGGGTAGTTGAATGAACCTTTTGAAATGTACTAAAATTCAAGTGCAACTGAGTTAAGGACACTGGTAAGTACAGTATGAATAGAATTCATGAAAAGGTTTTCAATCAGCTATGGCTTGAAAACTATAGCTTTGTTGAAGGATGCTTTGTCATGAATCTGTCTCCCTACTGATACAAAGAGAGCCAAAAGTCTCTATGTTCCCACACTGAAATGAGCCAAACACAATGTGTATATGTCATAAACACATATTTTGCAAATATTTCATAAATATTTGGTTCAAAATGCATGCAGGGAACATTCTTGATTATTACTACTTATTTTGAAGTAATTTTTTATGTTTTTTATATTTATGTGTTAGACCCTCCAATCATGTTTATAGTCACTGGTATTGAGCAAGAACTTCAAAAACTCAAGACTGGGCTTCAGGTGGATTATCCAGAGAAAGGTTCTAGGTCCATGCAGAGATTACTAGGCAAAGAGAAAACGAGGCCTGGTTTCTTTGCATATATCATAAATTACTGCTAGAGAATGATGCATTCCCAAGCTACAGGATCAATCAGAGTAACAAGCCTTAATGAATTAACAAAAAAATGCAAAACTCCTGTGATTTGTTAACAAGAAGATCAGCATTACTTAGAACCATAAAATAATAATTTGTAGAATGAATTTCCTCCACATTTGGCTTCTTAGAGTCATTTCAGTTTTTGATATTATATTTTAAGTATCTGCATAAAGCAGAGGTCAGCTTTTCCAAATACAGTTAACATCAGCCAAGGAAATACTATAAAATTACCTTTGTTTTTATTTTTTAATAATACTTTCTATGGATTTATACCAATACAATACAATACAATACAATACAATACAATACAATACAATACAATAAACATCACAAAATAAATGGGCTCTTAGGCCAAAATTAGCATAATGTAGCCTTCTAAAACACAAAAACAAATATTATAGGAAGTTTTTGTTCTGTGACAATTTTTGCTCAGTTGATCAGCACAGTGGCAATAAAGCCTGACAAGCACCAAAGTCTTCTATTGACTAATAATTTTTTCACCCTTGCATGCCAGCATGCATCTTACAACATAAAGTGCCAATGACAAAATGGACCAACAGCAAAGGGTAGATAGATCCGTCCCTGAAACATTTCTCATAAATACACACACACATACAAACACAAATGCATTACAGTAGGTCAGTAGTTTTCTTTACTTTCTTTTGACTCCATGCCTATAAAGAAAAATCAGTGACCTTTAACCAAGAAAAATCTATACATTTGGGCATCAAGAGCTACAGAACATCAAGACAATATGTTGGACCTTTGGAGACAAAGTGAATTCAATTCAACTCAACGGTGTTGACATTCTTGTCTCAGCTAGTACCTTCTGTTTGTTACTAAAAACATGAACTCTCAAGAATTACCAGTTGGTTTTTCTACTAGTGAAATAATATTTTTTATTTCAACTGTTGTTTTGGTAGTCAAACACAATTATAATAAGTGAAAATAATGTGATTGCAATAAAATATTATTAGGGTTCATTTAGAACTACCTAAATTTTTTCTTATTAATCACACTCCACGTATTAATAGCTAGGTATTGTTTCTTTTTTTTTAGTTTAAATTTTTATTTCATATTGGGGGGTATATGTGTTGGTTTGTGACCTGTGAATATTGCATGATGGTGAGGTTTGAGATAATAATTGATCCCATCACACAGGTAATGAACATAGTACCCAATAATTAGTATTCCAGACCTTACCCTTCTTCATTCTTCCCCTGTCTAGTAGTCCCGTGTCTATTGTTGCCACATTATGTCCACAGGTACACAATGTTTAGCTCCCCCTTATGAGTGAGAACACATGGTATTTTATTTTCTGTTCCCATGTTAATTCGCTAAGGATAATGGCCTCCAGCTGCATCCATGTTACTGCAAATAACATAATTTTGTTTCTTTTTATGGCTCCATAGTATTTCATGGTGTATATACCATCTTTTCTTTATCCAGTCCACCATTGATGAGCATCTAGGTTGATTCCATGTCTTTGCTGTTATTTTCTTTTGAATATATATATGGTGATGGGATTGCTGGGTCAAACGGTAGCTCTGTTTTAAGTTCTTTGAGAAATCTCCAGCCTGCTTTTCACAGTGGCTGAACTAATTTACTTTCCAACAAACAGTGCATAAGTGTTCCCTTTTCTCCACAGCCTCATCAGCATCTGTTGTTTCTTGACTTTTTAATAATAGCCATTCTGACTGGAGTGAGATGGTATCTCATTGTGGTTTTGATTTGCATTTCTGTGATGATTAGTGATGTGGAGCATTTTTTCATATGTTTGTTGGCCACTTGTATGACTTCATTTGAGTGGTATCTGTTCACGTATTTTGCTTACTTTTTTATGGGGTTGTTTTTTGCTTGTTGAATTGTTCAAGTTCCTTATAGATTCTAGATATTAGATGTTTGTTGGATGCGTAGTTTGTAAATATTTCTGCCATTCTGTAAGTTGTCCATTTACTCTGTTGATAGTTTCTCTTGCTGTGCAGAATCTCTTTAATTTGATCTCATTTGTCAATTTTTGTTTTTGTTGCAACTGCTTTTGAAGACTTGGCCATAAATTCTTTCCCAAGGCCAATATCCAGAATGGCTTTCTTCTAGAACTCTTATACTTTGAGGTATTATATTTAATCCATTTTGAGTTAATTTTTGTACATGGTAAAATGAAGGGGTCTTCTTCTGCATATGGCTAGCCAGCTATTCCAGTTCCACTTATTTAATAGGGAGTCCTTTCAACATTGCTTATTTATGTCAACTTTGTCGAAGATCAGAGGGCTACAGGGATGCAGCTTTATCTCTGGATTCTGGATTCTGTGTTCCAGTTTTTGCACCAGTACCATGCTGTTTTGGTTACCATAGCCTTATAGTATAGTTTGAAGTCAGGTAATGTGACAGACACCTCCAACTTTGTCCTTTTTGCTTTAGATTGATCTGGCTATTTGATCTTTTTTGGTTTCATATAAATTTTAGAACAGTTTTTTCCTAATCCTATGAAGAATAACATTGGTAGTTTGATAAGAATAATGTTGAATCTGGGATTGCTTTGGACATATGATCATTTGAATGATATTGATTCTTCCAATCCTATGAGCATATAAGGTTTTTACATTTGTTTGTGTCATCTACTATTTCTGTTAACAGTGTTTTGTAGTTCTCCCTGCAGAGATCTTCTACCTCCTTGTTAGATCTCCTAGGTTTTTTTTTTTCTTTTTTGGTGTGACTATTGTAAACGGGATTGTGCTCTTGATTTAACTCTCAGCTTGAATGTTATTGGTATATGAACTGTTGAAGCTGTTTATCACTTTCAGGAGCATTTGGCAGAGTGTTTAGGGTTTTCTAGTTATAGCTTTACATTGTCCATGAAGAGAAATAGTTTGATTTCTTTTCCAATTTGGATGCTTTTATTTATTTCTGTTGCCTGTTTGTTCTGGCTCAGACTTCCAATACTATATTGAATAGGAGTGGTGAAAGTGGGCATCCTTTTCTTGTACCAGTTCTCAAGGAGAATGCTTCTAGGTTTTGCCCATTCCATATGAGATTGGCTGTGGGTTTGTCATAGATGGCTCTTATTATTTTGAGGTATGTTCCTTCACTGCCTAGTTTCTTGAGTGTTTTTATCATGAAGGAATATTGGATTTTATCAAAAGCTTTTTCCACATGTATTGGGATAAGCATATTGTTTTTGTCTTTAATTCTGCTTAAGTGGTGAATCACATTTGTTGATTTGTGTATGTTGAACCAACACTGCATCCCAGGAATGAAGCCTATTTGATCATAATAAATTAGCTTTTTGATATGCTGTTGAATTCAGTTTATTAGTATTTTGTTGAGGATATTTAAATCTCTGTTGATCAGGAATATTGGCCTGTAGTTTTCTTTTTTCATTGTATCTTTGCCAGGTTTTGGTATCAGGATGATGCTAGCTTTGTAGAATAAGTTAGGGAGGAGTCTCTCCTCCTAGATTATTATTTTTTTTAATACTTTTTGTAGAATTAGTGCCAGCTCTTCTTTGTGCATCTAGTATGATTTGGCTCTGAATCCATCTGGTCCTGGGCTTTTTTTTTGCAGTTGCGGGGGTTGGTAGGTTTTTTTAATCACTGATTCAGTTTTGGAACTCAATATTTATCTGTTCAGAGTTTCAGGTCCTTCTTTATTGAACCTTGGGAAATGTGTTTCTAGGAATGTATCCATTTCCTCTAGATTTTCTAGTTTGTTTGCATAGAGGTATTCATAATGATCTCTAAGGGTCTTTTGTATTTCTGTGGGATCAGTTGTAAGGTCACCTTTGTTGTTTCTGATAGTGTTCATTTGGATCTTCTCTCTTTTGTTCTTTGCTAATCAAGCAAGCTGTCTATCAATTTTGTTTATCCTTTCAAAAAACAAACTTTTGTTTCATCGATTTTTTTGTGTGGATTTTTGGATCTCAACTTCTGAATGCCTGGAGATCTGCCTGGGCATGGAGCACAGAGGGCCCTCCTGCACCACAATCTATGGTGAAGAAAGGTGGGGTGACTCAGGCTGCTGGTCCAGAAAAAAAAGATCCTCCAAATGCCTGGATTTATGCCTGGGAGTGAAGTGGACCACGATCTCATGACAGCAGGCAGGGGCACCTAGCAATGACACATGCAAACCAGTTCCAGCTTGCCAAGCTGGCCCTGGCTGCAAGTCTTGTTGTCAAGAGAATTTACAGCTGTAGCAGCTCTCCTCCTCCCCCAGGGAGAGCATAATTCCAGTGCTTACACTGAGACAGTTTGCACAGTTCTGGCTATGGAGGCCCCTACCTTATTGCAGAGCAGGTGCTCCAATCTCTGGCTTGAGACTAAATGCCTGCTTGGCCATGCTTCTGGGTCACCAAAAAATGACTAACTTTGTGCCCAGATTAAAAATAGCATGCTACTCTCAGTTTCAGGACTGCAAAATGTCTGCAGATTTTCCCAGTGTCTTCCTCTCACAAGTATTCTAAGCCTCTCCCCAAATTATCTCCAGGGCTTGAAAGAAACAAAGTGCTCTCACTTGGTCTGGGTTGCTTGGATCCCTGTGGAAGGGTGAGTCACAGAGGGAGGCTCTCTTCCTCTCACACATACTGGGGCTTCACTCACTTTCATCAGCTGAACACCATCACAGGGGCTGTTTGCCCACATTCTCCTCCCTGGGACCTGGGGTGTCCTTCATGATTCCAATGGATTCCCATTTTCCTTCTTGAATTAAAGCTTGTAGAATTGATCTTTATGCCCTATCTTACTATTTCCTAGTGGCCTGGGTATGCTGAAAACCTCTAATCTGCCATTTTGGGGTGGAAAATATTTTCTTTTTTTAACATGAAAGATCACTTCACAGTGAGAAGCTAATGCAAGCTGGGAAAGTATATAATGTGGTCTTTAAAGAAGAATGAAATGAAAATAAGTGGTCTTCTAATCAAGCAAGCATTGACATTCTGACATTGAATTGAGCAAAGTATTTATGGCATCAACTCTGGTCTTCAAATGAGTACACTATATAGTTATGAAGTATATTTCAGAAGAATTCATCAACATTTTACTTAGTTTTTCCTTATAAAGGACAAATATTACCTTGTCTTATTTATATTTACACTACTCATTCATTAAAAGAGGTCTAGAAAGTAAAAAACCAAGTACCAAAGATTTTTAACCATGGTTTTTCATTTGCCATTAAGAACTTTTTCTCATTCTACCCATCCAGGAAGCATTATTCTGCCTCATCTATATTTCATATGTTTTTAAACTTCCTTTACTTTTCTCAAAAGCCTTTCAATAAGCTCTGAAGAATTCTACCATGAAACAATATTCCTCTTATTTTCCTGGAAATGTACCACTTCTTTATAATTTCTATTTTATTGTTGGCCTTTATTGTTTCCTATGGTAAAAACTTATGTGATCAATAGGAACTTCATGTAGCATATAAAATAAAATTTATAATTACAACAGAATATTTATCAAAGGAGCACATCAAATACCAATAGCAAGACAAACAGCCTTCTTGTTAAAGGTTAATTATCAGAGTTTCATTCAAAATGTATATGGTGGAAAAAAAAAAAAAAGGTCAAGGAAGAGACTCAAAGACTTAGGAATTTGGTAGTAGTCACTAGAAAATGACTGTTGAGCAGGGAAAAGCCAAGATTCAGTACACCATGCGTTCCCAACTAGACCACCAATGGAATAATTATCCTAGGTCTTTTTTTCTTTCTATATTTTAGTGATATGCAATATCATCAAATAAATTCCCTACACACATCCAGTGGAGAAGCTGCTTTGCCTACACAATTCCTTAACTGGCACAGGATACTTTTCCCCAGCTCTTATTCTAGTCAAAGATCTGTTGAGTAAAGACCTACACAAAGTCAAAGGAAACATTTACTTATTTTCATCATCATAGGTTTTTTAGTCATAAATATATACAAATAATAAAGAGTCTAAAGATAGTCAAAGGGTACCGACAGCATAAAGAAGGATATATAAAATAATGTAACCCATTAAGAAAATTGGGGAACAAAACTTTTTGATCACTACAACTAATATTTTTTACAATTATTATCACAGTTGACAAAGAAAAAGAATAATCAGAAAACATGACAATCATTGTGACTTTTTACAAATATAGAGTAAGTGACAGAAAAGAAATCTTGACTCAAAATCAAGTTATTGATTTTAAAATGAATGTAATATGATAAAGTTAAAACAGGCACACAGAAATTAAGAGAGAAAAATCATGAAGGAGCCAGAGTCTGAAATCTATCTAAAAATGTTTCCTAAAAGGAACGTAAAAGTGATGGAGAGAGGGAACAATCAGAATACAACAGAATATTCCCCCAATTTTAAAAGTTTCAGAATAAAAACACCTGGAGAATTCATGAGGGGTGAAACACACCAACACCTAGATACAACATTGTGAATTGTAAGAATAAGAAAAAGATTCAAAAACTTCTACAGACAAACAAAAGGTACCTACATGGAAGGAAGTATTCACAAAATACTTCTGGGCTAAATTAGTAAAAATCATATACTGACAAATATTTTCTTATAGGAAACAAGAGATTAAAGAATCCCTTCAAATATTGAGTGAAAAAAATATTTGGAGTGTTACATACTATACCCTGCCAAACTATCAAGAAAATGTGAGAAAAAGTATAGAATCAGTTATAGATTCTAGTTTTCTAATGCCAGAATTCAGTGAATTTATCATCCATGAACCATATATAACCCAAAAGGCTTGCAGGAATCTGGACAGAAAATAAAAGAGAGTCTATTTAACATAAACATTTGGAAGAGTCTTTTTTTTAAAGTAATGAATTTTTAATGCCATAGCATCGTATTTTCCCCTTTATGGATCCATTCATATTACTGACTTTATAGAACAAAATATTTAGAAAACCATATTGTAAATGCTGCCTATTAGCATTTGATTATTTGGAATCAGTCTAGACATAGCACAAAAGACTTAATGTTTAAATAGCAGAATGAAAATGCTAAGGTTTGGCAACATAAAAATGGTAATATAACTAACAAAGTGAGAGACGGAATGGAAAAGAATTGAAAGAAAAGTTGAATGTGCATAATTTCTTATTTTCTTAGTAGAGATTCATTAAGCATTGTATTAATTTGACAAATCAGTAAAGCACATAGAAAATAAGTACGTTATTTGACATTTAATAGGCAATTAAAAGAAAAACAAAAAATTAATAGTGGTTTCCTTTGGATAGCGAGACTAGCTGGGAATGGATTTTAGAGAGGGAAGACGTCAACTAGATTTGATATTTTGTTTAATTTACTAAATAGAATAACTTAACCGAAAAAAGAATTGGTTTTATAATAAAAAGTTTAATACAAAACATATTGAAGTAAATATTATCTCTGAAATATTACTAATAGTTTAAAAATAAGTTTAATTTTGCTTAAGCATTACGGAAGTCATCACCTCAGAAATATCAGAAATACTTTAAGATTGTCAATGTGTTGAATGATAGTATTGAATGAACTAAACCATTTAAGACAAAACAGTCAAAACCACTATTAACATACTGAAAGTCTTGATGTAGTCATGCATTCTATAAATACTCTTTTTTTATTGATAATATGATCTGGACAAGGTTGAGAGGATGGATACTTAGTAAAACCAGGAACTATGATCTTCAGCCAAACATAGAGTCTGAATAAGCTCAGGAATAGCCAAAGCTCCCCACCCTATTAGCTTATTCTGAGATGCCAACTATGGTCTCTCCCTTTAGCCATAGTGATTGAGTAGAATGTAAGATATGCTACACCTCTCTACTAACCTACTGAATGTCAGTGTGGAGAAAAGAAACCAGGCCTCATCAAAAAGTCAATGTCACAGTAGTTTCAATTGTGAAAAAACCTTCCTGCTAGTCAATGTTAAATATATGAATGCTCTTGCCCTCATGGGAGGTGGTATTATTTTTTAAAAAAGAGAAATTTAAAGTGAGACAGCCTTGAGTTTCCATTCCAATTTCACTTTGTGAACTGAGATAATTAAGGAAATTGTTCAAGTTAACACTGCTCTTGGCTTCAGTTTCTTCATTAGTAAATTCGGATATCAATAGCAATGGCTCAGGGTTATGAGTTATAAATAAATATGCTATCATCTAGGATCACACATAATTCTTTGTATGGTTTAAAATGAGTAAATTTTAAAAATCATTAATGCGAACATTTATGCTGTCATTCCTAATACAATTTAAGGTGTGACAAGTAGTAGCAATCTCCTTTTTGAGGAAATACTTAAAATACTAAACACATATTTTAATCTGTAGTTCCATTCATGTGAAATGGAGATTTATGAAAAATTAATCATCATCATAGGTCAAATTTTAGAGAATCACATTTAAAGCTCAAAAAAGCACCAAGCATCCTTTGTCATCCAGGCTCTCTTAAATCAGCGAAAAAATGCCTATTAGGTGGCAAGAGACTGTGGCTTTTGTGTTTTACAGTTTTAATGGGTTGCTACTGGAGACTCTATCAGATTGCCTCTTCCATCAGAGTGATGTAAAGGACCAAAGACTGTTAAATTCCATACCTCATTTTTTAGATATTAAAGATCTTACAATTAAGAGGTCATTTTGTCAAGCATAAAAATTAAACGAGGTAGTTTTCTAAAGAAAATGCCAGACTTTAGAAATGCCCTAGATGCATTAAAAGATGTGCTACCCAAACCAAAATAGAGTAATTATTATTTCTTATATTCCTTTTATTATTATAATTCAATTCCCTTTCAGACCACATGCATCAACCATTGTGAACATTCATTCCACTAATAATTTGGCTCCAGGAAAAAGACCACACTTGAGGGGAAAATATGATTCTGCATTTCCTCCATAAAAAACTGGGCTATTTATCATTAAAAACTGGGCTATTTATAAACTTTAACTTTCTTTTTACATATATATTGGATGAAATAACATATGTATTGACATCTAGTTTTATAGACTGGTTTTCCCATGTATTACTTCAGGGATTTGTGGTAGCTACGTTGAAGGACATGTACAATTAAATATATACTACTTTTTATTCCATGTTGTATTATAGTCCCTGTACTTATAGAAGGTCACTTATACCTGAGACTCAGCTGCAACTACATTATCATTCCCCTCCACCTCTTTTTAACTCAGCATCCATTTAAGTCCCACTGTGTTCAATTCAATGAGTGTCTGATGAAGAACGTGTCCTCATTCATTCTTCTGAAGGTCTGAGAGAGTTTAGGACATTGTTTTTCCAAGAGGAATAATATCAGAATGATTTCTCTACTTCTCCATTCTCATATTATCCCATAGAGACTATTATTTTATTTGGTCCTCTTCCTGGAACTTCTTTCAGCATAGACTGTCTATCTAAATCAGAGTGTTTTAATTATTTACAATGATAAGTGTTTCTAAGTAGGATTAATGTACCAGCACTCAAAGTCAATTCCTTGGCTCCCTGAGGAGCCTCACACATTGTACTTAGCTTTTACAGACTATGCAAGTATCGGCAGTTAACTATACTTGGCTTCTCAACTTTTTGCTCTTATCTTTTTTTCTTGTTTATATTAGGTAATGAGGATATGAGCTTTTCTTAATGTTGCTGAAATGCACTCTTCTTTACTATTTGATAGACTTGTTGGAAGAGATTCCAAGGAGCACTCAATTGAGGCAACCTCCATACTGGGGAAAAAAAAAACACAGATCATTCTGTACAATGAGCTCATAATTTTTCAATCTCAAATAACTTTTTGCATTCTGCATACTCTTTCCAAAATATACAAAGGCATTGCCTATTTAGTGTGACATGTGGAAGAGCTGTCTTAATTGCATTTCACACTTTCTTCACAGATTTTTTTTAGAAATGCTAAAATCTAAAGAATTTACCAAATGTCAAAAGAATAACACCTCCCTTCCTATTCCCAATGTTGTACTTTCTTTAACTTTCAAACAAGACCCAAAAGCTTCATCACATCTTTCCACTCAAGCCAGAACAAGAGCCTGAAAGAGTTTTAGTCACTCTGCTTCTACTCCTTTATTCACATTACTGGCTGCCTATACTATTGCCCTCTCCACCATCCAGCCTAGATCTGATTCCACCAAATAAGCCTTTCTTTATTGGCACAACTTATCCTCATCACTCTTGTGCTTCCCAAGTTCCTCTCCTCCACCCTCCTTACACAATTTGTGTTCCATTGTTCACTGCTTGAAGATTTTTTTGACTTGGTATTAGTTATATGTGTTTCCATGAGACAAAACTACGTTTGCTCATTTGTTTCTATTCACAGATCACAACACGTGAAGTGGCTGGCACATCACTGAAAAACTACTGAAGTTGGCCAGAATACCTGGGGTTCACTCTTAATTCTGCCACTTACTGACACTTACTGATTATTAAAAATTTGGTAAATTATTTAATCTTTCTAAGCCAATGTTTTTTCCCCTTTAAAATTAGAGGTAATAATATCTACTACACAAAATTGAAATCAAATGAGCTTATGTTAAACATCCTTGCAATTTCCCCCCAAATAAAGTAAATATCCATTGAATACTTAGTCATTCTGAACCAGCACCATGCATTCTATCATGTTGAGTATCTCTGTTCCTTTTAGCCCAAGTTGTAACAATTCCATTATTAAAATTTAAGCATACTTTGTAGTAAGTTACAATCCACTCCATTAGACAAACACCATACCTACATATGTCTTTGAGCTATACCCTGTCTTCCTTGGGCTGAGAATCAGTACGTTCTGGGGCAATGCCATTGTTTCCTAAGAAGCCTTCTTTTCTGAGTTGAAGAAGATATCCTTAAAGATTATTGAATGAATCATAGATTATCTGTGTACTTGTGGTATAGTATTAAATATTTATTTGTTTCTGCTAGAATTAATTCATTTATACATTCATTCTATCATTTAGAGACTTATGTAACACTGGACTCTGAGTATAGTCCCATTTTAGGCATGGAATAGACTATGGGCTCTGTCGTAAGAAAACACATACTCCAGAGCAAGAGTCAGCAAACTTTTGCTGAACAGGCTAGATATGAAATGTTTTAGACTGGTGGACCACACTGTCCCTGTGGCAACTACTCAGCTCTGCCATTGTAATGTGAAAGCAATAATTAATACATGCATAGCCTCAGCCATTATCAACATCCCACCTTTTTGTGGTATATTTCTTAATCTACAGATCAAGTTAGAGATAACTAACATCTTGACAATATTGAGTCTTCCTATCCATGAACATAAAACATACCTCTATTTAATTAGAGTTTTTTTATTTCTTTTAACAGTTTTACAGTTTTCCTTGAATAGATCTCCATATCAATATTCTGTTAGATTTATACCTATTTCACTCTTTGGGGTGCTAATGCAAATAGTCTTACAAACAAGGCAAGTTTTATGTCTTCTTTCCCAATTAGTATAACTTATATTTTATTTTCTTGTTTTATTGCATTAGCTCAGACTTCCAGTACAATGTTGAAAAGAAGTGGTGAGAGGGAACATCCTTGCCTTGTTCTTGATCTTAGTGGGAAAGACTCTAGTTCATACCATAAGGTATGATATTAGCTGTAGGTTTGTTGCAGATATTCTTTATCAAGTTAAGAAAGTTCTCCTCTATTCCAAGTTTTTGGAGTTTGTATAATATTTATTTTTTAAAATTTGTTCAGATATGTTTTATAGCCTTGTTAAGATATGTTTTAAAGGGAATGTGGTCTATATTGGTGAATGTTCCATATGAGCTTGAGAAGAATGTGTATTCTGATGTTATTGGATGAAATGGTCTATAGGTGTTGATTATACCCAGGTGATTAACAGTGCAATCTATCACCTGCACAATTTCATCAGTTTATGCCTAGCGTATTTTGATACTCTCCTGTTACACACATGCACATTAAGAATTACTATGTCTTCTTGGATAATTGACCCTTATATTTTTTACATAATGCCCCGGTTTAAACCTGATAATTTTTTTCTTTGAAATCTGCTCTGTCTGAAATTAATATAGCTATTTCTACTTTCTTTCAATTTTTTATTGGCATGAAATATCTTTCTCTATCCATTTACTGTTAATCAACCTATGTCTACATTTACAGTGGGTTTCTTGGGCTGGACACAGTGGTTCACGCCTGTAATTCAAGTACTTTGGGAGGTCAAGGAAGAAGGATCACTTGAGCCCAGGGGTTTGAGACTAGCCTGGGCAACACAGTGGGACCTCATCTCTGCAAAAACAAAATGTTATGATGTACATCTGTGGTCCCAGCTACATGAGAGGCTGAGGTGGGAGGATTGCATGAGCCCAGGAGGTCGAAGCTGCAATGAGCTGTGATTGAGCCACTGCACTCCAGCCTGGGCAACAGAGCAAGACCCTGTCTCTAATTAACTAACTAACTAACTAAATAAATAAATAAATATAGGTTTACTGTAGACAACACACAGTTGGGACTTGGGCTGTGTGTGTTTGTTTGTTTGTTTGTTTGTTTTTTAACTGGTACATTTAGGTTATTGAAGTTCAGTGTGATTATTGATATAGTTGGATTAATACCGATCACATTTGTTGCTGTATTCGATTTGATGCCTTTGTTCTATTTTTCTCCTTTTGCAGTCCACTCTTTTTAAAATTATTATGGTTTTCCTTGAGACTTCTATATAATTCAGTTTCCCTCATTTTTTAGCATATCAGTTATATTTATTTATTATTTTACTTTTTCTAGTGGTTTTCCTAAAGCTCACAATATACATTTATAACTAATCCAAGTCTACCTTCAAATAATACTATATTGCTTTATAAGTTGTGAGTAGCTTATAGTACTCAAATAATCGTAATTTTTTTCTCCTGTGTCTTGTATCATTTCTGTCATTCATTTCAACTAAATATAAGCACACATAGCATATTCTGTATATACATAAACATATATTCATTGATATATAAATATAAGTGTACATAAATCTATGGTTGCTATTGTTATTTTGAACAAACTATTATCTGTTATGTAGTTAGTTAAGAATACAACAAATGAAAGTTTTTGTTTTACCTTCACTTAGTACTTTTCCAATATTCTTAATTTATATTAGTCCAAATTTCTGAGCTATATTTTTTCTTCTCTCTAAAAACCTTTTTTTATTAGTTCTTATAAGGCAGATCTACTGGCAGCCAATTCATTCAATTTTTGAAGGCCTGTATTTCCCTTTCACTTTTGAAGGATAATTTCACAATATGCAGAACTATAGGTTGGTAATTTTTTTACTCAACACTTTAAATATTTCAGTGTTGTCTATTCTTGTTTGCATGGTTTCTGAGAAGGAGGATGTAATCTTTATCTTTGTTCCTGTGTAAGAGAAAAAAGTTTTATTTATTTCTTCTGGCTTCTTTCAGGATATTTTTCTTCATTTATTTTATTTTATTTATTTATTTATTTACTGTAGCTTGAGAATTATGTGCCTAGGTGTAGTTTTTTGGCATTTATTTCACTTGATGTTCTCCGAACTTCCTACATCTATGGTTTCATGTCTGACATAAATTTGGAAAAATTCTTACTCACTACTATTTTACATACTGTTTTTCTGTTCCTTTCTCTCTTCTTTCTATCTAGTATTCCAATTACACATAAATTACACCTTTTGTAGTTCTCTCACAGTTCTTGATTATTCTCTTTTGATTTTACTTGTCTTTGTTCTCTTTGCTTTTCAGTTTTGCAAGTTTCTATTGATATAGCTCAAGCTCAGAGATTACTTCTTTAGTGATGTCCAGTCTACTAATATGCCCATCAAAAGCATCCTTCATTTGTTATGTTGTTTTTTAATCCTAATCCTTTTTTTTCTTAGAATGTTTATCTCTCTGCTTACATTGACCATCTGTTCTTGCATGCTCTCTACTTTATCCATTAGGGCCCTTGGCATATTACTCATAGTCGTTTTAAATTCCCAGTCTTTTAATTCCAACATCTCTGCCATGCCTGGTTCTGATGCTTTCCCTGTTTATTCAGATTATGTTTTTTGACTTTTAGTATGCCTTGTAATTTTTCTTGATGGCTTAATTGGATGTACTGGCTAAGAAGTACTGTGGTAAACATGTTTTTAAAACATGGTAGTTAAAGGTGGGGTGGGGAGAAGTGTTCTATAGTCCTATTATTAGCTCTCAGTCTTTTCATGAGTTTATGCCTCTGGACTGTGAACGTCACAAGTTTTTCTCAGTTTTTTTTCACCTCTTTTAAGTAAGATAGAATGGCAAGAGTTGGCTGAAGTTGGGCATTTCCCTTCCCTCAAGCTTGATAAAACCCCAGCAGGTTAGTCACTGATGAAATAGTTTTTCCTGAGAATAGGCCTTTTTTAAGGAAGAACACAGCACTCCCATATTTTAAAATGGTTCCTTTCCTTTTGTGCTGGAAGTATGAGAGGATTTTTCTCTGATACTTACTGTGAGAACCTGGTCAGCTCCTGGAGATAAAACTCACAAAAGCATTGGGCCCCCCGAATACGGGGTCTCCCTGGGGGTTTTAACTCACATTTGTGCAGACTCAACTTCCAGAAATTCATCAATTACGGTTCACATTTTCCTACCTTAGCACTAGTTCTAAAGAGATTTCTGGTTCAATAAATTGATGTTTGTATCTGCCTGTCTCTGAAATGTTGGGGGCAGTGGTTTGTCGGGTGACCTCACTTCTCCTCAGATTTAAGAAGGTTGTTGATTTTTCAGGTTTCTCAGCTTTTTAAGTGTTGTTGAGATAGAGTGGTGACTTCAAGCTGTTTACATGTGGAACCCAGAAACTGGAAGTCTCACTCTATTTTTTTACTAGCTCTCTAGTATTTGAGAAGCACCAAGTATGTTTTTTTACTTGACTCAGGAATAAAACTTGTAAATTAATTATTCTAATTTTATGTGAATAAACTCATTTGAAATTTTAAAAAATGTAATAGTGTCATGGTTATTAAATGTCTTTTATGTTGCCCAGCTGAGAGAGTCTGCATGGCCCTGCCTTAAATATTTCTGTGGTCTTAACAAAGGATCTTACAGCAGCACCTTTGAGATGTTGATGCTGAAATCATGTTTTGTTGGCAAAGCTTTGGATTTGCTATTTTCCCTAAAGCCATTTTATTCTGTGAAAAAAATTTTTTCCAGAAGAGACTGGCAATAAGAAATAGTTTCATTTTTGAGCCCAGCAAAACCTGATGCAGAATTTTTTTCTCTAAATTCTGTTTGAAAACTATGCAATTTCATCTTTAGTTTTTCCCTAAATATCCATAATTTATCATATGCAGCTTAAATAACCCAGGTGGCACTTTAACATTCTTCCTGAAAATTTCATTGACTAAATCCACATGCATATTTCCTATTTTCAAAATTATCACAAATTGTGGTCAAAAGTGTTGCTGAACTTTCCTCTACTACATAACACAATTTACCTTTTCTCTAACCTCCAATAGCAGTTTTCTTCTTATCCTTCCAATCTTCTTTAACAATCTCATTGAGGCCATTGTAGATTCAACTTTACCAGATTCAGAGCCAATATTATATAATTTGGGTTTTTCTTAAAGCATAACCACACTTTTAGTACCAAGTTCTTTTCCTATTAGTTATTAAGGTATAAAAAAGTATCCCCAAACTTAGTGGTTTAAAACAAAATTGATTTTTTTGTAGATTGACTTGACTCAGCTGGACAGCTCTGCTCCCCTTATTTTAGGTAACAATGAATCATCTGTAGGCTTGATTGACTGGAATATCTAAGATGACTTAGTCATATAGCTGGTAGTTGATGCTGGCTATTATCTGGGAATTCAACTAAGACTGTAAACAGAATGCCTACAGGTTGCCTTTCCTTGCTTGTGGCTTGGTTCTCTCACAGCGTAGTGGCTGTATTCTAAGAGGAGGTATCCCAAAATATTTCCAGTTGTGAAGAAACAAAATATTTTGGACCCTTAATGACTAGGTACAGAAGCAGAAGAGTGTCACTTCTGCTTTATCTTCTTATTAGTTAAAGCAGTCACAAAGCCCATACATATGTTCACATTAGACGTGGGGAAATAAACTCAGAGAATGTTAGTGAAATTCTAAGGGTCAAGGAAAAGAATGTTAGCAAAAACCCATCAGCTCTTAAAAAGATGGTGAGCAAGAACATAAATGAAAGTAAAGAAATGTTATTGGAAGCTGGAGAAAGGGAGAATTGTTGTTATATAGTAACAAAGTTTAACAACATTGGCCAGGCATGGTGGATCAAGCCTGTAATCCCAGCACTTTGGGAGGCCGAGGTGGGTGGATCACTTGAGGTCAGGAGTTTGAGCCCAGCCTGACCAACATGGCGAAACCCTGTCTCTACTAAAAATACAAAAATTAACCAGGCATGGTGGCTCGCACCTGTAGTCCCTGCTACTTGGGAGGCTGAGACAGGAGAATCACTTGCACCCAGAAGGTGAAGGCTGCAGTGAGCCAAGATCATGCCACTACACTCTAGCCTGGGCGACAGAGCAAGACTCAGTCTCAAAAAAAAAAAAAAAAAAAAAAAATTGTCAGTTGCAACAGCATAGGAGCTAAAAAATATACTTAATAAACAAGCTAATTTAGCTAAAGATATTTCCAGGCAGTGTTGAAAGTGTCACCTGGCTTCTTCTTACTGTCTGTAGTAAAATGAAAATAAAAAAGTTAAGCTAAAAGAATAATTGTTAAATATATAAATTATCCAGAGCTTTCTATGTTTAAAATAAAACTGTATCTAAATCCTGCCTATCCAGATGGCAAACAACGCTAAAAATATGAAAATGGTTTCCAGGAAAAGATCAAATCCAAGACATTGTCAGGAAAACACTGTCTAAAGATAAAGGGTGTGACTGTGGGAACTTTATCAAGACTTTAGGAATATTTAAAGTAATGTATCAAAAATAAAAACAAATAGTGTCTCTAAAAATCTTAAAGGAAGACCTCACAGACTCATTGACAATGGAACTTCCAAGGATTTTAGATGTGTTTTTCTACAGCAGCCATGCAGAAAGTTCAAAATAAAGTTTATTGTGACAAAATGTTATCAATGTCGCTTTTTAAAAAATTGAGTACATTCCCAATAAGATTTCTAAGAGGCCCATAGAATCTTTTTAAACTGGTTGTTTGCTCTATCCTCTACTTATTTTTTACTTTAAACTTTTTTTACTTGTTTTTTTTTTTTTAACTTTCACTTTAGATACAGAGGGTACATGTGCAGATTTGTTACACAGGTATATTGCAGAATACTGAGGTTTGCAGTACAACTGATCTCTTCACCCAGGTAATCAGCATAGCACCCAATAGTTAGTTGTTCAATCCTTGCCCTCTTCTCTCCCTCACCTCCCTTGCAGTCCCCAGTCTATTTTTGCCATCTTTTTATCCATGAGTACTCAATGTTTAGCTCCCACTTATAAGTGAGAACATGAGTTATTGGTTTTCTTATCCTGCATTAATCACTTAGGATAATTGTCTCCAGAAACATTCATGTTGCTGTAGGAGACTTGATTTTGTTCTTTTTATGGCTGTGTAGTATTCCATGGTGTATACACTGTGTAGTACTGGTTTTCTTATCCTGCATTAATCACTTAGGATAATTGTCTCCAGCAACATTCATGTTGCTGTAGGAGACTTGATTTTGTTCTTTTTATGGCTGTGTAGTATTCCATGGTGTATACACTGTGTAGTATTGGTTTTCTTATCCTGCATTAATCATTTAGGATAATTGTCTCCAGCAATATCCATGTTGCTGTAAGAGACTTGATTTTGTTCTTTTTATGGCTGTGTAGTATTCCATGGTGTATACACTGTGTAGTATTGGTTTTCTTATCCTGCATTAATCATTTAGGATAATTGTCTCCAGCAATATCCATGTTGCTGTAAGAGACTTGATTTTGTTCTTTTTATGGCTGTGTAGTATTCCATGGTGTATATGTACCACATTTTCTTCATTCAATGAATCATTGATGGGCATCTATGTTAATTCCATTAATTTGCTATTGTGAATATTGCTATGATGAACATACAAGTGCGTGTGTCTTTTTGGTAGAACGATTTATTTTCTTTTCAATGTATACCCAGTAATAGGACTGCTGGGTCAAATGGTAGTTCTGTTTTAAGTTCTTTGAGAAATCTCCAGACTGCTTTCCACATTGGCTGCATTAATTTACATTTCCACCAACAGTGTATAACTGTTCCCTTTTCTCCACAGCCTTGCAAGCATCTGTTGTTTTTTGACTTTTTAGTAATAGTCACTCTGCCTGATGTGAGATGGTATCTCATTGATTTTGATTTGCGTTTCTCTGACTATTTATGATATGGAACATTTTCTCATATGTTTGTTTGCCACTTGTATGCTGTCTTTTGAGAAGTGTCTGTTCATGTTCATGTCTTTTGCTCACTTTTTAATGGAGTTATTTGTTTTTTGCCTCTTGAATTGTTCCTTATAGATCCTGAATATTAGACCATTGTTGAATGCACAGTTCATGAATATTTTCTCCCATTCTTTAGGTTGTCTGTTTTCTCTGTTGATAATTTCACTTGTTGTGCAGAAACTCTTGTTTAATTAGGTCCCACTCATCGAATTTCATTTTTGTTACAATTGCTTTTGAGGACCTAGTCATAAATTCTTTCTCAAGACCAATGTCCAGAATGGTGTTTCCTAGGTTTTCTTCTAGGATTCTTACACTTTAACATTTTACATTTAAATATTTAATCCACCTTGAGTTAAGTTTTGATATGGTAAAATGTAGGAGTCCAGTGTCAGTCTTCTGCATGTGACCAGCCAACTATCCCAGCACCATTTATTAAACAGAAAATTCTTTTCCCATTGCTTATTTTTGTCAACTTTGTCAAAGATAAAATGGCTGTAGGTGTGCAACTTTATTTCTGGGTTCTCTGTTTTGTTTCATTGGTCTATCTATGTGTCTGGTTTCTGGTTTTGTTTGTTTGTTTTTACCAGTAAAATACTTATAGTATAGCTTGAAGTTGGGTAATGTGATGCCTCTGGCTTTGTTCTTTTTGCTTAGGATTGCTTTGGTTATTTGGGCTCTTTTTTTTGTTTCATATTAATTTTTAAACAGTTTTTTTCTGTGAAAAATGACATTGGTATTTTGATAGAAATTACATTGAGTCTATAGGCTTCTTGGGCAGTGTAGCCATTTTAATGATATTGATTCTTTCAATCCATGAACATGGATTGTTTTTCCATTTGTTTGTGAGATATGATTTTTTTCAGCAACATCTTGTAGTTTTAAGAGACTCACAAATGAATCGTATTTGTAGAAACACTGTTAGCTTAGATGTAGAGGGGCAGATATAATACAAAAGAGAAAACTGCCTTTGGACTCTGAAATTACTATGCGCTGGAAATAGCCTGAAACACTACTCAGTTACCAACACCAGCCATTTATTGTGAAAAGAAAGGATGAATTAAAACATGGAATCAAGATCTCAGATGGTGCAGTTAAGCATCAAAATGTATAAATCCCAGGCAGTAGACATGAGCCTTAATCAAGAGACTGCAAACGTGTCCACCTGAATTTCAGAATTGCTTGAGAATAGTTATACCTGTGGGCTGTCTATTTACCTCCTTTTTGAAATGGAGGGCTTTGTGAAGTTATCCTATGTCTGTCCAACTAATGTACATTGGGTGTCTTGGGGACAGAAAAGTTATCTCTTTAGTTCACAGGGAAATTGCACTTGAAGAGCTGTACTCTATGAACTTAACCTGAGGCATCATCACACCTGAACTAGATTAATGACATTTTAGTCTGTTTGGGCTGCAATAAAAAAAAATAACACAAATTGAGTAGCTTATAAACAGGAATTATTTCTCACTGTTCTAGAGTCTGGGGTGTCCAAGATCAAGGCTCCAACAGATTCAGCATTTGGTGAAGGCCAACTTTCTGATTCACAGATGGTGTCTTCTCACTGTATCCTTATATGATAAAAGGAGCAAGGGGCCTTTCTTGGCCTCTTTTAAAGGGCACTAATCTCATTCATGAGAGCTCTGTTCTTTTAACTTAACCACCATCCAAAGGCTTCACCTCCTAATACCATAATACCTACATCTTGAACAGCAGGATTTCAACAAATATATTCTTAGGGGACACATTCACTTATAACAAAGCACACAAGGAGCTGTTTGACCTAAAACCTGCAGCTGAGACATAAAGAAATTATATTTTGAGGAATATTTAGAAAAGGGTGAGTATATTTTGTATGTGGGAGGTCTATGAATTATTAGGGGCCAGAGGGTGGACTATGGCAGACAGCCTTAAAAATACCCCCAGTGATCCAAGCCTCCAAGTATTTATATTTTTATATACTCCATTCTCACACTGAATCAGGGATAGCCCTATTTGATCAATGGTGGAAATGAAAGTGCATGATTTCCTATTTGGAAAAGTCTACATAGGGATTGAGAAGTCTCTGGACAATATCTGTACCAACTTACCAGCTGTGTGAGTGAACCACTTTGGAAACAGATCCTCTGTCTCTAGTTAAGCCTTCAGTTGATTGCTGCATTTGCTGACACTGACTGTAACCTCAGAAGATATCACAAACCAGAGCCATTCAACTGAGAAATGGCAAGTGAAATAAAATGGCTATTATTATTTTAAAACACTGTAAACCAAAAATGAAATTCTCAGCCCACCCCTCCACCCCCCACAACCAATCTTCTGAATGAACTCCTTCCTCTCCGCCAGGGCATTCCAAAGTTATCCTGAAAGACTGGTTCAGGCCATGATGGGAAGTGGGGGTTAGACATGCCTCATTATGCCCTCCTTCCTTTTGGAATTCAGGAAAGCCAACCAGCATTTAACATAAATACAAACCTTAAGTCTTACAAGAAACATTTACAATCTATTTTCTCTGAAGCCTGCTACTTGGAGGCTTCATCTGCAATGTCTTATTGGGACCTAGACATTCCTTTCTACTAACAATAACTCTTTCAACCAATTTCCAATCAGAAAATTTTAAAATCTACCTATGACCTGGAAACCCCTGCTCTGAATTGTCCAGCCCTTCCAAATTGAACCGATGTAAATCTTACATGTATTGATTGATGTATTATGTCTCCCTAAATGGTGTAAAAGCAGGCTGTACCCCAACCACCTTAGGCACATGTCCTCAGGACCCCCTGAGACTGTGTTAAGGGTGCATTCGTAATCTTGGCAAAATAAACTTTCTAAATTGATTGAGACCTGTCTCAGATACTTTTGGGTTCAAACCACTAAATGCTGGAACAATTTTTTATAAAGGAACAGATATGTAAAACAGGTCATTTAAATGCATGAGACTATATGAAATCACCAACTGTAGAGAGATACAGAAAAAAATAGAAGAGGTCCAAAGACTAATCCCAGAGATGTTCCAACATGTAGGCATCCAATAGGTGAAGGTAAATTAGCAAAGAAAACTTTAGGCAGTGGCTATCCAGAAAGAGAAAACCAGATGCATGTGATCTGCTGGAAGCTAAGAGAAGAAAGTGTTTCAAAGAAGAGGACTAATCAGTAGTGTCAAATGCTGCTGATGGGTCAAGAGGGGTGGGAATTGAGCAATGTGAAGTTCACTAGTTACCTTGATAAGACTAGTTTGGGAAAATATAATTTAAGCTCGTTTAAAAAGCCAAAGAGGAGAGAAATTAGAATCAGTGAGTATAAACCACACTTTAAAAAAAAATTTTTTTTAATGAGGCAGTAACATGAATACATCTAGACCCTCCTCAGAAAGGTACTGACCCAGGAATAAAAGTTTATTATTTGAACCACTCAAAGAAATCTACAAGCTCAAAATATACTGATAAAATAAAGTACTACCAAATATATGTGCATTCCATATTGAAAAGCTGGGTGGTCAATACTGACAAGAAAAGTAAACCTAGCAAAAGCATCAGAAGACCCGTATAACTTCCTAAATGATGTACCAGACAGTCCTGCCTGTCACTGATTCACATCTTCACATAATCTCCACAATAACCATAAACAGAGCCAAAGAATCTCAGTAATTATATGATAATGTGCTATCACATTGTGTCAGACAACTGTTATGTTGCTTCTTCTTATAATTACAAAATTAAACCGCAAGTGAGGAAGACGATATTTGGATCCCAGGAAAAAATATGTTCCTGCTTCTATGCCTACTAAAGTCATTATATAAATGATAGATTATTGTCAAGCATTTTGAATGCTTAGAAACAAGGGTAAATTAGTTTGTGTGATTATTACTACATTATGAGATGGAAAAAGCCAAGACATGGGAAGTTAAGAATACATATATCAGAGTGTAATATTTTGCCTTTATGGGAGCAAAGATTAATGAATCTACTACGGTTTAAATGTTTGTCTCCTCTGAAACTCGTGTTGAAACTTACTCTCCAATGTTACAGTATTAATAAATGGAGACTTTATGAGGTGATTGGATTGTAAGTGGTCTGCCCTCATAAATTGATTAATTCATTCATAGATTAATGGGTTCTCATTGTAGTGGGTTAGCGATCACAAGAATGGGTCTGCTATAAAAGCCAGCTTGGCTCTCAGTGTGCTTCTGTCCCTGTGATGCCTTCTACCACATTATGACACAGAAAGGAGGGCCTCACCAAATGAAACCCCTTGACCTTGGACCTCCCAGCCTCCAGAACTGTAAGAAATACATTTTTTAAAAAATTATAAGTTACCCAGTCTCTGATATTGAATTATAGCCAAAGAAAATGGACTCAGACAGAAAATTGATGCCAAAAGTGGGGCTGTTGTTATAATGAATTCCTAAAAATGTAGAAGTGGCTTTGGAACTGGGTAATAAGTTGAGACTAGAAGATTTTGGAGGTGCAAGCTAGAAAAAGCCTATATACCATAAAAAAAGCATTAAGGGCAATTCTGATAAAGGCCTAGAAGAAGACAAAAAGACTAGGAAAAATCTGGAACTTCTTAGAGATTACTTAAGTGGTCACGACCAGAATGCTGACAGAAATGTAGAACATAAAGGCCATGCTGATGAGGTCTCAGGTGGAAATAAAGAATAAGTTATTGAAATATGGAAAAAAAGTCTGTCTTGCTAAAAGATAGCAAAGTGCTTGGCAAAACTGTGTCCATGCCCTGAGGCTTTGTGAAAGACCAAACTTTAGAGTGATAAACTAGAATATCTGGCAGAAGATATTTTTAAGCTGCAAAGCATTCAAGATGCTGCATAGTTACCTTTGGTTGCTTAAAGTGAGATTTTGGAGCAAACAGATGATTTAAAGACAGAATTTATAATTAAAGAGAAGTACAATATAGAAATTTGGAAAATTCACAGACTGGTCATGTAAAGAACAAAAAGCATGTTTGGGTGTGATTAGTACTGATAGAAAAGAACCAAAGGCTATTTATGAGGACAAAGGGAGAAAAATCTCAAAGGCATTTTAGAGATCTTTGAAGCTGCCTCACTTGACATCAGAGGCCCAGAGGCCTAGGAGGACAGAACAGTTTTGTAGGACAGGGCCAAGGCACCCTCCACAAACTCACTGCTCAGAGTTGACTCAGGACTCTGTTTCCTACATCATGCTGCAACACTCCTCGGCTGCTCCAGCTGTGGCTCAGTCTGCTGCTCTGAGAGATATAAACTGTAAACCTTGGTGGCACCATACCATGGATCAAGCAGGCCCAGTTGTGGCTAGTGCTGCTACTCCAGAGAGCACAAGCATTAAGACTTGCTTGGTGTCAATCTGGTGCTAATTTTGCAATTGTGCAGAATGCAAAAACTGTGATACCAGGGTGGCCTCCACCTAAATTTCAGAGGATGTATTGAAAAGCCTGGGGGCCCAGGCAGAGACTTGTTGCAGGGATGGATCCACCACTGAGAGCCCGAACCAGGGCAATGCTGAACTGAAAGGTGGAGTGACAGCCAGGGTTGCTTTTGAGATTCCAGAATTGCAGGGCCACTAGTAGCATATAATGCCCATCAGGGAAAGCTGCAGGCACCAGCGTGCAACTCCAACCCAAAAGAGCTGAAGTGTAGGCTGACCCTGGCAAAGCCACAGGGGTGAGATTGCCCAACATTATGGGGGCCTACTCCTTGCTCCAGTGTGCACAGGATGCTGGACATGAAGTCAGCTTTAAGAATCAATGTCTTCTTTGCTGGGTTTTGAACTTGCTTGGGGCATTTTACTCCCCTCTTCTGGCCTATTTCTCCCTTTTAAAGTAGGAATGTGTACCCTATAACTATCCCACCATTGTATCTTAGAAGTAGATAATTTGTTTTAATTGTATAGGCTCACAGTTGAGACTTTGGGTTTTGGACTTTTGAATTGGTGCTGGAATGAGTAAAGACGTTGGGTCTATGGGCATGGAAGGAATGTGTTCCTATGTGAGAAGATTATGAGTCTGGGGAGGCCAGAGGTGAATACTATAATTTGAATGTTTGTCCCTTCTGAACTTATTTTGAAACTTAATCTCTAATGTAACGGTAATAAGAGGTGGGACCTTTAAGAGGTGATTGGGTCATGAGGGTTCTGCCCTCATAAATGGATTAAATCATTAATGGATTAATGGGCTATCCCTGGAGCGGGTCACTTATTGCAAGAGTGGGTCTGTTATAAAAGCCAGTTTGGCTCTCAGTGTGCTTCTCTTGCCCTGTAACGCCTTCCACCATGTCATGATTCAGGAAAAAGCCCCTAACTAGAAGCAGCCCCTTGACCTTGGACTTAGCCTCCAGAACTATAAAAAATAAATTTATTTTTATCCTAAATTACTCAGTCTGTGGTATTGTGTTACAATAATAAAAGCCAGACTGAGACAGAATCCATGCCATGAAGTGGTATCTTTTAGTGGTGGAGATAACATGAATATAGGCTTAAATCCTCACTTGCTACTTATTAGCTATACCATCCAAGCAATTTGTTTAGGCCTCCTAACCTCAGATTACATGCCTCCAAAATCAGGACAGTAATAGTTGCCTTGAAGATTTATGATGAGCATTGGAAAAAATGAAAAGAAAGCACTAAGCATGTTGCCTACCATAGGATGGGTATATTTGTCAGCTTCGGCTACCATAACACAATACTATAGACTGGGAGGCTATAAAAACAGAAATTTATATTCTCACTGATAGCTTGGATAGCTGAGATCTAGGTGCCAGTATGTTCAGGTTCTGGCTATCTTCATGGCTTGCAGATGATTACCTTCCTGCTGTGTGCTTACCTGACCTTCCCTTGGTAGGTGCACACAGAGAGAGCCAGATAGAGGGCTAGCTCTTCTATGTCTCTTCCCATAAGGACACCAATTCTGTCATAACAGCCCATCCTCATAACCTCATCTAACTCTAATCACATCCCCAAAGTTCCATTTCTAAATACCACCACATTGTTGGGGTTAGGGCTACAACATATAAATTTTGATTGGTCACATTCAGTTCACAACAAAAATCCAAAAATAACAATGATGATGAAATTGTAACATTTGTTGTCACAGGGTCTATATTATAATTAAACCTACTACTAATGATAATCTTGACCCTAGAATTTAATTTACAGTTTCTTTTGCTAAATATAGTGCTATAATAGATTGTCTTTCCTTTATAAGAATTTTCGGTTTTTTATTTATTATCAAAATGCTTTACACTCAAGGTTGGCATGCTTGGATTCTAAGCTTTTTTAGTGTAACCATTGTGCCACATTCATTTTGTAAGCCATGGCACCTAGCACAATGCCTAGAACATAATAAATGTTATTTAGATGTTTGATGAATGAATGACTGAAATGATATTCTCTACTCTAAATTCATTTTTCTTTCATTTTTATACTTGCAGTGGATAAATAGAATTTGAAAGCATAGACAATAATATAACTTTCCATAAAGAAAGGTAGGTGTTTTAAAAAATTATAATACGTAAAGTCTATTTTAGAAAATGTATTTTGGATATTGTTGAATAAAGGCCACAATCTCAAATTTCTTATGCTATCTCTTTGCACTCTGACAACAAAAGTGGTTCTTTTCCATACTAAACTGGCCACTGTAAAAATCTAACTGCTTTTGGCAGGGAAATTAGCAGACAGACTTGGCTGTGGTCTTTAATGGAAATGTAATCAGCAGTCTGTCTTTATGAGGGTACACTGCTATCACCAAATATCTACTTAGGTAGTGAGGCCAAGGCTGCAGGCAGCAGTCCAAAAGCATTAACATTCCCCAGGTGACAATAAAAAAATGAAATGTGCTCATGGGGAGCTGATTCATTTCAGATTTCCCAGTATTTTAAAAGTAAAAGAGCAAGTTGGTCATTTGACATCAATTTAGTCTGCTGAGGTTCTCTAATTTGCCAATA
Organism: Homo sapiens; assembly: GCF_000001405.40. Lineage (NCBI taxonomy): Eukaryota > Metazoa > Chordata > Mammalia > Primates > Hominidae > Homo > Homo sapiens. The sequence goes on along the minus strand of NC_000003.12, from coordinate 109,853,348 downwards.
AAAGACGTTACCACCATCTATCCAATGAACTCACATTGCATTTTTTAGTTGAAGGGTGTATTCTCTCTGCAGTCATAAGCTAACAAGCTCCCTGTAAAAGCTGTCAGAATAGTTCTAGATTCTTCCCATGACACAAAACACCCTTTATAATCTAGCCTTGTATTTCCGACTATAATGACCCCTCCTGGTCAAAATATGTGTCCAAAGATTATAGAGCTACTTGCACTTTCTAACTGTGCATACAATTTGGTGCTTCTGTATATTTGCATACCCTTCTGTTCATCCTAGAATGCCTTTTTCCTGGTTCACTTGGAAAATACCTTAATATTATTCCATACCAAAATCAGGGATCACTTCCACTATAGATAGTAATTTACCCAAAAGGTTATCCAAGAGAAAAAGTCCTCCAGCAATTTTTTTTTCCTTAGAATTCCTGCTTTGGGCCAGGACATATGTCTCCCAGTTCATACTGAGTTTTAAATACTCATTTTTAAAAAATCTCTCTCCTTCACTAGTTTCTGAGCTCCCTGAAAGTAGGATCAATACCTATGTCATTTTGTATCTCAGAATCCTAGGACAGTGCCAGACATGTAGAATTTGAATTTATATGTCCAAATGTATTTGACTTCTAAAGGCATATTTAAAATGCCCAAAGATATTTTCAAAAGGTAGAAAAAACATTATTTTCAGTATAGCTGTAACTTTCAATAGAACGGTTATCTTTAGAACAATGGTACTTGTTATAGGTTTGATTATATAAATCATGAAAAATGCACATTTTCTGAGACATTCTGATATATAATCATTCCTCGTTTATCTGTGGCTTTGCTCTTGCAGTTTCAGTTACCCATAGTCAACCACAGTTTTAAAAAAATGTGTATTCGGTAGCTGTTGGGTGGAATGCTATAAATGTCAGTTAGGTTCATTTGTCTACAGTGCAGTTTAAATCTGATATTTTTTCCCCTTATTTTCTGTCTGGATGATCTGTTCATTGCTGAAAGTGGAGTGTTGAAGTGTTGAAGTTGCCTACTGTTATTGTATTACAGCCTCTTTTTCTTTGATCTATTAATATTGGTTTTATATATTTAGGTGTTCCAATGTTGGGTGCATATATTTTATAATTGTTATATCCTATTGCTGAATCAATCCCTTTACCATTATATAATGACATTCTTTGTCTCTTTTTACAGTTATTAATTTAACATCTATTTTATCTGATATAAGTATAGCTACTCCTGATTTCTTTCGGTTTCCATTCACATACAATATCTTTATTCATCTCTGTACTTTCAGTTTATGTGTATTCTTACAGGTGAAGTGAGTCTGTTGCAGCCAGAATATTGTTGGGTTTTGTTTTTTACTCATTTGGCCACTCTGTGTCTTTTAATTGGAGAATTTAATCCATTTACATTCAAGGTAATTATTGATAGGTAAGGGCTTACTGCTGCTAGTTTGATTTGTTTTCTGGTTGTTTTACAGATTCATTCTTCCTTTCTTCCTCCATTACTGTCTTTCTTCTATTACTCTCTTTATTTGAGGTTAAGTGATTTTTTTCTAGTAGAATGTTTTGATTCTTTTTTTTTTGGCATATCTCTTGTAGGTCCTTGTGATTACCATGAGGCTTACAAAAAACATCTTATAGCTACAAAAAGATTATTTTAAAATATTCACAACCTAATTTTGATTGCAAATAAAAATAAAAGAGAAAAATCTTCTACTCTTTCTCTACTTTTTAACTCCACCCTCCCATATTTTGATGTCACAATTTGCATCTTTTATATTATATATCCCTTAACAAATCATTGAAGTTATTATTTTAATTGTTTTGTTTTTTAACCTCTGTGCTAAATATATAAGTGATTTATACACCACCATCACATTATTAGAGTATTCAGAATTTTACTTTTACCAGTGGATTATGTACTTTTAGATGTTTTCATGTTATTCATCAGCATCTTTATTATTTTTTTTTTTTTGAAGACCTCTCTTTAGCATTTCTTATAAGACAGGTCTGGAGGTGAATTTGCTCAGCTTTTGCTTTTCCAGAAAAGTCTTTATCTCTCTTTCATCCCAGAAAGACAGCTTTGCTGGGTATGATATTTTTGGTTGGCAATTTTTTTCCTCCAGCACTTTGAATATATCAATCCACTCTCCCCTGGCCTGTAAAATTTTTGCTTAGAAGTCTACTGTTAAGCATACTGGAACTTCCTTATGTGTTACTTATTTATTTTATCTTACTGTTTTTAGGATTCTCTTTGTCGTTGATCTTTGACACATTAATTAGAACATGCCATTAGGTAGTCTTATTTGTATTGAACGTGATAGGAAACGACCTTCCTGTACCAGGATATTTACATGTTTTTCCAGATTTTTCTGTTGTTATTTCTTTAAAGAAGCTTTCTACCCCTTTCTGTTCCTCTATTTCCTCTTACACACTAATGCCTCATCAGTTTTCTCTTTTGATGCCATCCCATAAATCTTTTAAGCTTTATTTCTTTTTTTCCCTCTGAGTCTATATTTTTAATTAACTGGTCTTTGATTTCATAGATTCTTCTATTTAATCAATTATGCTACTGATGCTCTCTATTGCATTTTTTGTTTTGTTCATTGTAATTTTCAGCTCCAGGATTTGTTGTCTTTTTTTTTTTTTTTCCTTTTTTTCCAATTCTCTGTTAAAATTTTCTGGTAAATTTCTGAGTTGTTCCTATGTATTTTCTTGAAGTTGCTGTTTCCTTAAAATACCTATTTTTAATGTTTTGTCAGGAAAATCTTCCACCTCCATCTCTTTAGTGTCAGTCATTGACATCTCAGTTCATTCATTTGGTCATATCATATTTCCCTGATTGATTTTCATATTTGTAGCTGTTTATTGATGTCTGCACATTTATGTAGGTATCTGTTCTAGTCTTCAGTCTTGCATTGTTTAGGAGCTTCCTTCAGCACTAAACTTGTCCAGAGATTTAGGGTACGTTGATTCGTGAGATCCCTAAATCCATTACTTATATTTTAATCTTGAGGCACTAGGGGGTACACTAAGCCCAGGACTGCCATGGCTGAAATTCTTTGGCCACAAAGGCTGAATACAGTGCAGGGTCACACCTAAAGCTCATTACTGCCAAGACCAGTGCAGCGCTGGGGCATGCCCAAGTCCTGCAGTTTCTATAGCTTACCCAACACTGAGGTTTATTTAACGCCCAAGGTTGCTATAGTTGACTAGTGGTGATATAGGCCAGATTTCAAGTTTGTCTTTCCAGGTTCCTGGGTTCCTGTCTGGCACTGAGCCCTGAGCTCCCATTTGGCACTGTAGCAGTTCTAAAGGCTCTGCTCAGAGGCGCAATCTGGTGTCAGGGTCCATGGGATTTTGCCTAGTACTGAGTTTTACTGTGGTGGGCCTAGTGGAGGTTCCAAGGCAAAGACTTATGCTTACTTCCTTCTCCTTTCCCCAAGTGGACAGTGTCTCTCTCAGCACTGCAATACCTAGGGTTGGAGGAGGAGTGATGTAGGCAATTCCATGGTCACAGAGACTGACACAGTCCTAGTTTGCCAAATCCTACTGCCACTGACACCAGTGCAGCCCTAGAGCATGCCCAAGGCCTGCAGCCTGCCTGCCACTTAATTCAGGGCCCAAGGCCACTGTATTCAGCTGATGATGATGCAGGTCGGATCTTGAGTATATCCCACTGGGACAACAGGTACCTGTCTCTTGCCAGGGTGGATCCATGAGTGTTAGCCTGATGTCTAGGACTAGAGGCTTTTGCCTAGTGCAGGGTTTCACTATGGCAGCCCCCCTACAGGGTTCCAAGGCAAAATCTTATGCTTATATTTTTTTCCTTCCCTCAAGCAAATGGTATCTCTCTCTGCTTTACTGCCTGGGATTCGGGGAGGGGTGATGTGGGAAATGTGAGGCTGTCCATTCTACTGCCTTCAATTAGTCTTTTCCTGTTATTATGATAAGACCAGGTAGTACTGTGATCTCTCTTCTGGTTTTCTTACATCTCATGAAGATTTGTTTGAGTGTGGATAGTTGTTTGAATTGATGTTTCTGTGGGAGAACAATCGATCAATCGCTGGAGAATCCTACTCTGCCATCTTACTCTGTCACTCTTTATACATATTTCAAAACGCCATATAAACACCATAAATACATACAATTTTTATTTGTTAATTAAAATTAATTAATTTTTTTAAAGGAAAAGATAAAAAAATTGACAAGTGGAAAGAAATTGTGTGAGTTAAACCAAAGTAATTCTGAGCATGTTATTATAGTAGTCTTTATATTTTATTACCCTTATAAAGGGTTGTTTAATTATAGCTCTCTCAAAACAGATTCAGCTTATCTGGAACCTCAGGCATCTAAATAAAGAGTGGATCATACTTACATGAGTGTCAATACATGCTATATCATGATTCTCAGAAAGAGGGAGAAGATGACCTTCCATTTAATTATGTAATGAGATTCATCACTAGAAAATTAATTGACATGTCTCCTGTGACACTGTCTAATCAATGTTGAAGACAGTTGACTATCATTTAATTTAACTCATTTAATATTATAAACACACTTCTCATTTTAAGCCTTTGTTGGCTTCTATCTATACAGTGCTCTATATTTTTTTCAAATATACTCATTCCATCTATATTCCTTTATTCTGCAGATGGCTATTGAATGCCTACTATATGCTAAGGATTATGCTAGACTCTGGAGAAAGAATGGTGCACAAAACAAGACATGATCTCTGATCTGCTTATAGCAATGGTTTCACTGCTAAGGTTCCACATTAAACTCACCTGAGGGAGATTTTAAAATTCACTGAGGCCCAGGCCCATCATCTAATTTTTACACATAAGCATGAATTAAACTAACTCATTCTGCTACTATGTTTCTAAGTGACATATACAACTTCACTGACATTCTTGATAAACTAAAAGATCTTGTGGTTTTCGCAAATAGTCTTCTCTTTGTTTTTGCCTGGTTTCATAGCAGAAATAGAAGAAGAAATTACCCAGCATGATGCAATTGATCTCTCTCAACCTCAGTTACCGTCTTTTATTCAGTAAATATAAATATCTCTCTACCACCAATTTTCTTCTTATTTTATTCCTACCAATGACAATACCCATATATTGGAAAAGTATTCCTTTTCTTGTTACTATAATTCTTTCTATTTAAAAAGCTTGACTACAGATACAGGCTGCTGATTTTTTGAAAATGCCATGATCTGTTTTCCAGTTTAATAACAACATTTAAAATACCTTAGAATCAAAACATAAGTTTCAAAACAATGGATAAATGACTGGTTTTTAAGACACAGCTGTAAAGACAGTTCTCTAAGGCAAATATTCTATTCTGGTTTATAGATTCTCCCAAATTCTACTTACAATAATGGTACATTATTTCATTGTATTTGTCTGGTTATCATGCCTTTTCATTGCAAGGTCAGTAGGTTTTTTAAGGTTGGTCTCCTCACTTCTATAGTCAAGCTCTCTAGAGCTGCTTTATAGCTCATTTTCTTCTTCTAGGTCAACAGGAGGATAATTTTATTTCCTCACTTTTCTGAATTTATCAAGGCCATGCAATCGTTTTGGCTAATTGTTTCATGCATTTCTTCTAGACCAAAACATTTTAACTTCTCGTGAAAATCTCTCCAGCATTTCATCTCTCTGGCTGTGCTATCTGAAAAATTTGGGAATCCTGTGTTCCAGATGCTGTCTCTACAGGAGAAACGGTAAATTCTTCAACAACCTGTGTCCCTGAGTGACTAGGTTAAACAGAAGTCCCTGCTGATCTGAATGGGATAGTTGTATGAATAAGAAGTAGTAATTTTTGAATTGTTTACTACAGCATAAGGCTACCCTAACCTGACTAATATCACCTTATTATCTTTAAATCAGAAGCAGTTTCAGTGATAAACCAGATTATTTATGACTTTATTCTTTTTTTCTCAGTGAGCAGTGGGTTTCATCAGCCTCTGTAAAACAGATCTAAAAAGATCAAAAGGTCAAACCTTGAGGTTGAATCTATAGACATAACAGCACATTGCTTTTATAAACTTTCTTCCAAAATATTATAAATGAGTACCATCAATGGGTATCAAGGTAATATATTATTATCTTGAAAAGCTCTTGTGAATTTTTTGTCCACTTATGTTTTCCAGCCCTGAATTTCTCTTAATTTTTTCTAAAGGCTCTGATTACTTTTCTTGTTTAGAACTAATTCATTACTGTTTGGAATTGTTTCTCTGGAATAATGCCCCAGACTCAAAAAAGATGCTATATGAGAAGAGTGAGACAGAATCAAAGATTAGCCAACCATAATTGTAAACTTTGTGGTTATTCAAACTATTTGTACTTTCAAAGAAAGTAAATTGGATTTACTTTTGCTGAGCCATTTCATTTACAGCTGTCATTCATCATGCTGAAAATGTTTTCTCTTTGTGTTCAAAGGGCATGAGGAATGCCAGTCTACCTCTTCAAAAAGTAATGAAACAGTCATGGAAGATGAAACAGAAACTACATGTCAATTAATCCAAGCATTGATTCCAAGCATCAATATAAATAATTGCAAAATTAATTTCATTGCATTTAACTTTCAACGAAGGCTTCTTTTTTTCAGAAAGAAAAAAAAAAAAACGCCTTTCTATTTCCATGCCCATTCTATGCCAAATGAACTATTACTCCGATTTATAATTAACTTGGGCTATAGTGGAAAAAAATTGCATCATTTCTGATTATGTCTATTAGGCAAATGGTTCTTATTGAGAACATATTGATATTTTGGGCAAAAATTTAATAGTAAATTCAGATTGACACAGAGATTGCCCGCCAAAAGATTGTTTTACCAAGAACAATACCTCTAAATATAACCAAATAGAAGTATCTTTGCTGGAGGAAGAGTGTATTAAATGGGCTCTCCTAGCTTACCCTATAACAACAAACTGTCCCCAAATCTCAATGACTTTCAACAACAAGTTTATATCTTGCTTATATTTATTTTTATTACTTGTCCACCTTGATTTGTTCTATTTGGGGTCCCGCACTATAGCAACAATCTCTGTCAGTGACATGTTATTGTTATGGCAGAGGGAAAAGAGCAGCGGTGGAATCAGGCGAGAGCCTGTAAATTTTCTTCTATAAGGTGAAACACATCACATTACTCACATTTCATTTACCAAAGCAAGACACAAAGTCTAGGCTCATGTCAACAGAGTGGGAGAGGCAGCAATTACTTTTAAAAAGTAATAAAATATACCCAAAGGTAACTTTTTCACTTAATACTTTTTCAATTGTTAAGGTTCAACTTAGAATGGTATGACTGATATGAAGCCTCCCTCAATTTGACTAGACCCAAAACTTATCTCTGTCAACCCTAAGTTCCCTGAGATATGTCAAGCTAATTTCCATCACCATGCATACCACTTACTAATGGTGAAGGTCTGCTAAAACTTCCCCTGTACCTTTTAGACCCCAGAGAGCTGAAAGCGTAGTGATGAAAATCTCAGGAAGTGGCATTTTGTTCGTCTCTTTTAAGCTATTTACTAAACCCAGCCAAGAACAGTGCTCTGTTTTCTCTTTTTAAGTCAAGGCAATCTTTTGGACCTAGTGCCCCAATTTGAAATACTGCACAGTGAGGAATAAATCCAAACTCAGACTCTTAATCACCTTATGACTATCAGATGTTTGTGATTTTGTTAACTTTATGTTTCTATTTGAGTACTAAGGCATCTCCAAACTAAAGTTAATGAAGATTAATATTATTTCAATACATTTATAATGTTTTTACACACTTGGTTTGAGTTCTAACTCTTAAGACTCACAAACCGTGTAGACATGAGCAAATCATGTACCTCCTAAGAAGTCGGAATACTAAAGCTCAGACCTTAGAGTCCTCTACTAACACCTTCATCTTAAAGACAAGAAAACTAAGTTATTGTGGTTAAGAATCTCATTTGATAAGAATTGGATGCAGACCACATACTGACTTCAATACTTCTATTTTTCCCCATCCTGGTTAAACACTTACCATGCAGCCACAGCTGAAACATTGGGTCTAGAGGAGCCTGACAGACCATAAACTAGACATCCAAATATGAACCTCTTCTATAGCTCACCACCTAACTTGTTTACACTACTCCTAAATCTTTGACTACATTAGGCTCTGTACACTATTACTTTAGAATTATGACATCCATGTGACAATTTCTGCCTTAGTTGACTTCTAAAAAATTCAACTCTTTCTTAGTTATCTTACAGCAGTAGCAGCAGTAGCAATGATGAAGGTGGTGGTGGTAGTAGCTGGAGTAATAATAAGAACAGTAAGAAACTCATTTCATCTTCTAATAGACCTATGGGGTACTATGACATGTAAATGAGAAAACTGATTCACTGAGAGGTAGTTTCTTGCTTAAAGTTGCACAGGTAGAAAATAACTCAGCTGGGATTTGAATTTAGAAGGTGTGTCCCCACAGCCCAGCCTCTAACCACTATGCTTTACCACTTCTTTCCTTCTATTCAGTCTGCTGATCTAAGTTCTTGTCTCTCTGCATTATGACAAGAACTTTCTTAAGCTTCTCTTTAAGAAAAATTGCATCACTAGAACAAATACGTGGAACCAATCATTTATTTCTCTTTATCTTCATATTATGACATTATTGAATTAAAAACCAATTAAAGAACAAAATAAACCTATAAATTTTGGGCCAAAACTATAAATATTATTTGAACAATATGTTGTTCCCTTTAATATAAATTACTATGTGATACCCTGTTGCGTGGACTCATAAATCCAGTTATTTTAATGAAAATATAATCTATTTTAAAGTGTCATATGTGATCATCTATTTACTAAAATACATACAAATGCAGTCTTCCTGAAAGCATCTAGACTTTATTACTGTAATGAATGTTAAATATGTTTTGTTTTAAGATAAACATACACAGCATATGAATTTTTTTTTTTTTAAGACAGAGTCTCATTCTGTCACCCAGGCTGGAGTGTGGTGGAATGAACTTGGCTCCACCTCTCAGGTTCAAGTGATTCTTGTGCCTCAGCCTCCTGAGTAGTTGGGACTACAGATGCGCATCACCATGCCTTGCTAATTTTTGTATTTTATTTGTTTTTGTTTTTTGTTTTTTTAGTAGAGATGAGACTTCACCATGTTGGCCAGGCTGGTCTTAAACTCCAGACCTCAACTGATCCTCCCGTCTCGGCCTCCCAAAGTGCTGAGATTACAGTCGTGATCCACCGTGCCTGGCCGGCATATGCATTTTTAAGATAAACATAGCCATATGAAAAGTTTAAAGAATTTATTCCAGCAGAAATTAATGAATTGGGGCAGTGCCAGACTCACAAACGGTTGGGCTCCACCTAAAGGAGTGTGGGAGGAAAGGGTTTTTTTTTAAACATGTTTAAGGAAGCAAGACAAAGAAAATATTTGACTGGTTAAAGTATCTAGTTCGAGTTTAGTTAGTGATTTCTGATTGGTTAAGCTTGTTTTATTTTACTATTTACATTGAATTGAGTTTTAATTTGCTTACCTCCTAAGTAAGCCCAAGGCAATAGAGCTGACTCAGCCTCCTAATATATTTTTTTATTTTTATAGATTTAGGAGGTACAAATGCAGTTTTGTCACATGGGTATATTGCATAATGGAGAAGTCTAGGCTTTTAGTGTAACCATCACCCAGCGTGTACCATTGAATAATTTCTCATCTCTAACCCCCCACCCACCTTCACACCCTTCCAAGTCTCCACTGTCTATTATTTCACTCTCTATGTCCATGTGAACAAATTATTTAGCTCCCACTTATAAGTAAGAACATGCGGTATTTAACTTACTGTTTCTGAATTATTTCACTTAAAATTTTTCAAACAACATATACAATCTTTCCTTCTTTTCCCTTAGTCCTAATGTACATTAGTAGCCATGATTACCGTTCATTACTCTTTCCTAGATTATATTCAAATATCTGAGCCAACAAAGAGATTTCTAGAAGATTTTCCTTCAGGAAATGTTGAGAGCAAGTTGAATATATTACATAAAATTCCTATGTGATCACGAAACCTCTTTATTAGCATCATTTAGAGGTTATTTTGGAATGGTGTAAATAAAGACAATGATTTTAGAATCATAGATAGTTTGAGGTGCTCTTTTTGTCAATAACTTATCATTTTAGCAAGGAAAAGTGACTCTTAAACCTTATTTTAAGGACATACTTGACAATCTTTCCAACTCAAATATTTCTGTAGGCCTTTCAACATGGTAACACTTCCATATTAGTAATAACAGGTGAAAATACTTTCAAATGTTTGGATTGATGGCAAATAAAGTTAATTCACATGCCTTCAAGATCCTACGTATTTAAATTTCTATTTTAACCAATAAGGACAAAACAACAATAAACCGAGAAAGCTGGTTTAAAAGGAAATGTTTTAAGAAATGTTATGGAGACTAAAATCCAAGTAATATCTCAAGTCAATTAATTTTTTCTGCTTTTTCTGTACAACCTAACTCACAGGACTTGAGTGATTTAAATTGAGATGCCTCCAAAGTACTTAGCAAATCTGTGTTCTGCTTGTTAATCTTGTGGATTCTTGGGGGTTAGATATTACATCCTCTCATCTTAGAACTCCCAGTACTCAGAGTAATGCATTTGTTCAACAACTATCTGCTAAATTAGTGAACAAATTAATAAATAAAAAGGTATGAATAAAAAATAGTAAAGTTTTGGAAACTTTAATACCCTCCTAAAAAGTCATTTACTTTAAGACTCGTTAAATTTGTATGCTGCAAGAAATATCCTGAAGTTACTTAGTTCATCTCCTAAAAAAAAAAAAAATTGTAAGAAATATATAGAACTTTCTGAGTACAAAGGAGTGTTGGAGATTACCTGAGGTTGAGTTCAATCAGTGGGAAACCCACTGCAATTGATGGAACTACTCCAAATCCAAATCCTACAGATACTGAATTTTTTTAAAATTATAATCTCATGCTCAAAAAAGACAAAAGAAGCTCTGTAAGTGATCTAGTATGACTTTTTCTTAATACAGTGCTCCTATGAATATTTCCTTGTTGGGACCTAAGGTATATTAGAGCAGGCAATCACCTCTTTCTTGTGAGGGTTGGGAAATCCCATGGTGCTTCAAAGAAGCAAGTAAAAATCAGTGAGTTGGAGAGGCTGTGAGCAAAGTTAAAGATGTCACAGTGCTGATTTAGAGCAGGGCTCATTCTGCAGTTTGACCCTCTGTCCATCTGATCTTGGTTCAGTGTTGCCTCAGATTCCAGATAATTCTCCCCTAGTAAGCAATTGTATGACTGAAGATGACCAGCAAGTCCCTTCCAGAGTTTCTGCCTTAATGCCCCACTCCAATTCCCTTCTCCTTCTCACCTGACATTTTCCTTCAGTTTGTCCAGTTTCTATGACTGATCAACTCTATTCTGGCCTCTACATATGCAAACTAACCTCACACCCTTCCTTATACTCACTCCCAAGACACACACACACACACACACACACACACATGCACACCCAGGTACATACACTTCTTGCCAGGTAAAAACAATCGATACACACATTTCCCATACATAAGATTGAGTCTATTTCTCCCACTAAATACACAGCACACATGCTGGGACAGCTTCATTCTGACATATTTATTCCCCTTTCAAGTTGAGCAGGGTTGGACTAATTTCTTTTTTACTGTCACATTTTATATTGAAATAAAGCGTCTTTGACAATAATCTGCTACCTGGGGTTTTTCTAAAGCCTATCCCCTGGCAAATACATGTTTTTAATTTATTTCATCTACAAAGAACCATTATGTACTTTATCTTCCATGTTTGTTAAGGTGTTGCATCTACAGACACTAAAAATAAAAGAGGACAAAAATCTGGGAGTAGAAAGAGATAAAATAATTTTGTTAACCCAGTTATAGAAATTTCATGAGTTTCAGAATTTTACACATGACCTTAAGTGTGTTTTATTTTATTTTTAAAAGTCTTTAACTCTTTAATGTAACAGAGATGCAGAGCCATGATTTAATTTTCCACTTTGTTAATGATTCATAAACACCTCACTGATATTGTTTAGTTTTATTTTCTAAAAATAAAAAGTAACTAATTTGACAACAAATAATTTTTTCCTTATCTAGTTTTTTTTTTAACGTGAACAAACTGTATCTGCAGATGCAATTTTGTTTAATTATTTTTCTGTGACATTTATCTGTAAACATAACAGTGCTTTCTAAATTCATCAGAACATGACATAGGAATTTCAGAAATATTAGCATGTAGTTGTCACTGTGCTGCTGCTTATTGCTGCAACAAGAAGAGCTGCCCAAATCTTTCTAGCTTATCACAGCAGAAATACAGAAAGCTTTCTACATGGTAATTTAGGTATGGTTTGGGCATTTCTAACCCAAAAATCCAAAATTCAAAATGCTCCAAACTCCAAAACTTTTAGAGCACCTACCTGATGCCATGACATTTAAAATGGAAAATTCTACACCTGACCTCATGTGACAGGTCACAGACAAACCTTTGTTTCATGCACACAATTATTTAAGATGTTGTATGAAATTATGCTCAGACTATATATATAGGGTGTATATATAACATACATAAATTTAATGTTTAGGCTTGGTCCCATTCCCAGGATATCTCATTATGTATAGGCAAATATTCCAAAATCCAAACAAATCCAAAATCCAAAACACTTTTGTTCCCAAGCATTTTGGATAAGGGATACCACATTTGTATCAGACTTCTACTTTCTGATGGCTCTATCCTCTTCCAGGGTGTTTTAGTTCATTTGTGTTACTACAGAGGAATACCTGAGACTGGATAATTTATAAAGGAAAGAGGTTTACTTGGCTCACAGTTCTGCAGGTTGTACAGGAAGCATGGCATCAGCACCTGCTTTTGGTGAAGGCCTCAAGATGCTTCCACTATGGTGGAAGGTAAAGAGGAGCCAACATGTGCAGAGATCACATGTTGACAGAAGAAGTAAGAGACAGTGGGGCAAAGGTGCAGGGGGAATGGAGATGCCAGACTCCTTTTAACAATCAGATTACTCAGGAACTAATAGAGCAAAAACTCACTCACTCCTTGCCCACCCTCAGGGAGAGTAATAGTCTATGCAAGAGGCATCCACCCTCATGACCCAAACACCTCCCATTAGGCTCTATCTCTAACCTTGAAGGTCAAATTTCAACAAGAGGTTTACAAGAGACAAACATCTAAACTTTCACACAGGGTCTCCTCTGCATTCAAAAGGGGAGTTCACAGACTCCAAAGCAAACAGCAACGTAAATGAGTAAAACAAGTAGGGTATAATACTATAGGGAGTAATGGAAACTGTAGAGAACTTCAAAGAATGCTCTCTGAAGATGGTTCCCATGCAGAAAAGCATGCATATTATTGGCAGGACTTTGCAAGAGAAAAAAAATCCGTATTTTTAAAATGCAAAAATCCCAAGAGTTTTAAATGTAAGCAACTAAGTAAAAAAAAAAAAAATACTGTGTATGCTGCTTTAAAATATTTCTGTGAATGATTTGGCTCAAAGAAGATGCACCTCCAACCTCTGGTGTATATGGTACCTTCCTTCTGATAAATTCATCCTTCAATAAAAAGGCAGAATGGCTATTGTCCTCACAAGATGAATGTTCTCCAAATTTTTTTGATTGTGCAGGAAAAAAAAATGTGGAAAAGTATTCCTAGTGCATGTGTGTGTGTCTGTGTGTGTGCACATGTTATACATACATTATACACTATATCTACCTAGGGACAAGATGTCTTGCTAATATCTCAAGAATTACTAATATTTCAAGGCACAAGACACATCTAGGGTGAGTTTCATTATTAATGATGTAGATGTGAATCCACACTTCAAATAATCTTTATAGCTTCATTTTTAAAGGAGCTTCATGACAGATGTGATGGGGTAATTGTTCTACCTCTTAATGTGGTTGATGAAGAGGACATTGGAATGGGGGAAACATTGTTTTCTCTATTTTATCTTTACTTCTGCTTATCTTCAATGCAAATTTATTCACAGGGATTATTTTTAGCTCTTTTTTAATGTTATTAACATATTAAATATTAGTAAAGCCTTATGTCTTTCCATTTATTAGACTAAAAAATACTAATAGAAGCTCTTGAATTCTATCTCTGTCCTGATTGCTTTGAACATCGCTTTTTATGCACACACCATATTTTTCCCACAATAGTACCCTCTCTTTTACTAGGTAACATCTGGAATATAATAGTTCACATTTGCACACAGTTCTGTTTAGGCCTATATGGTACCTATTAAGTATTATCTCACCTTGAAAGATTACATTTTCATTTGGTTTATGGTTCTTCAATAAGCATTTACTTATTTAAAAAGCAGAGAAAGACTATTAGTGTTTTAAAAATTTGAGGGGATTTTTATTAGTTAATCATGTTACCAAGAGTATTTTCTTGTTAATTACAATAGCAAAACACTAATTTATGTAAAATGAAATTTATTGCCTTTTAGTTGGGCTGAATGAAAATGGAAGAAAGAAAGTAAAAATTAGAGCTAGGTTCTCAGGCAATTTTGGTATAAAATGTGTAAAAGATGGAGAGAATAATTCTTCTCTTGGTTCCATGAGAGTTATGATTGTGACTTCTCATACATAAAAATGAGCATATGCCCTGAAGTATGTTGTTAACTAAATAACTACTTATATTTAAAGTTCACAATTCATTGGTAGTCAATCTAATTAGGCAAAAGAAAAGCTTTCTTTTCTGTACTACAGAGAAAAGAGATATTTCATAGTATCATCCTTATGAGAAGGTGAATGAAAAAATGCAAATTATGAAATTGCTTATCCCCTTATACTGCTCCTTCTACAAGCTATTTCTTTCCTACTGGTGATTTTCTTTGATATCAGATATTACTTGATATTTCCTAGATGAATACTGATTGTAATTAGATTTTTGGCTTATTAAATTCTGGGACTTAATTTCACATATGACCAAGGAAGAGAAGTCCATCAAATAAATTATAAGCCAAACTCTTAATGGTAGGGAGGATATTACAAATATTATAATGTTTATTTGATATTATGTCATATAAGTTAAAAGCCAAACACTTAACAGTAGAAATGACTCTTTTTTTTTACTTCACATATTTCTGTGTTGTTTGAATACTTTCACATTTTTGAAGGAAAAATACATAACAATATTAAGCAAAAATGAATTTATCTATATATCTGTCTCTTTCTTTGTAACAGGCAATTCTCTGAGCACTTTACATATTTTCTTCTAATCCTGTGGGATCTTGAGCAAGTTACTTAATGCCTACAGGTAATATGCTTAAAGTAATAGAAATATCAGTTTTTATTATCTGTCCCATGAAGTGGTTGTGGTTGTCAAGTTTAAGTGAGAGTGCATGTATATACGTAGTGTGTGTGTATTTAATAATAGACATATATTATATATATATGAATATTGATGTATTATATATGAATATTGCATTTAGAACAATGCCTGACATTCTATGCGTCAAATAAGTGTTGGTTAGCAATTACCCAGTAGAGTGTGAGCTTCGTGAGGACAAGTGTTATTGCCCCTTTTTTTTAATTCTATATCCCCAATACCTGGTATTAAATAGTTCATAACATGTGTTCAAAGAATAAATGAATGGTTTTCTGAGTTAGATGTACTGTGATCACCAATTTACTACTAACATAACTGAGACAGAGAAATTAACTAACATGGCCTAGATTTCACAGCCAAAATCACATGGTTAGTAAATGATAAAACAATGGTTTTTAACCCAGCTGACTTGACTCCAAGGGCTTTCACACTTACCCCTCTGCTCTACTGTTATCCCTTTTAGAACTAACAAACTAAAGAAAATAGAAGGAGAATTGCTCCTTAAAAAAAAACCAATATGTGGCCAGATGTGGTGGCTCACGACTGTAATCCTAGCCCTTTGGGAGGCCGAGACAGGCAGCTCTCTTGATCCCAGGAGTTCAAGACCAGCCTGGGCAACGTGGTGAAACCCCATTTCTACAAAACATACAAAAATTAGCCAGTTTGGTGTTGCATGCCTGTAGTCCCAGCTACTCGGGGGGCTGAGGTGGGAGGATCACCTGAGCCCTGAGAGGTCAAGGCTGCAGTGAGCCAAGCCTGCACCATGGCACTCCAGCTTGAGTGACACAGTGAGACCCTGTCTCAAAAAAAAAAAAAAAGTAAATAAAATAATTAAAAAGCAAGATATGATACTCTTCTAGTCCTTGAAGAACTACCGGAGCTATCATATACTGATAAAATGCAGAAACAGTTTTCTGGAGTTGAACGTAGGAAAGGGAACCCTTAAGCAGGCATAGTCTGCCTAAGAAGCTAGAGAAATATACACCACAATTTTAGGACTAACTATTTCATTAAAAAATAGTTAAGTTTTAAATCCAGTAACAAGAGTTAATCTCAACCAACCACTTATGCCCAGAAGGCTGAGATTTTACCCCCATCTGAAGGTTTTATGGTAGAAGGTATTTTAATTGTTTCCTCCAGAGATTTTCAACAACTTTTTTCTCTGCTGGTTGTGATGCCGTTCCCAAATGAAATCATGTACTGAAATCACTTTGTAAACAATAAAAATCAAAATTCAAAAGTAATATATCAAAAAGGTCATGAAAGAAGCTGTTTCTCCACGATTTTCCTGAGCAGAATCCTGGATCCTTTATTGAAATTCATTCATTCATTTCAAAGCAAAATCACTACCCTGACTGACTTCACTGTAATGAATTAGAATGGTATATGCATATTAAAGGCATATCCAATTATATGATTTTTATTCCAAAGGTCAAATATTAATTTAGTAAAAATCAATTATTTGTGGAAAAAAATATAGTACCAAGAGAGCAATAATGCTATTTAAATAGATGGGAGAGTACCTAAGAGAAAAATAGAAAGAAAAGAAAGATCAAAAACAGATACTGCTCAACTTATGATGAAGTCACTTCTCAAGAAACCCATCATTAAGTTGAAAATGTCTTAAGCTGAAAATGCATTCAATACACCTAACCTACCAAACATCATAACTTAGCCTAGCCTACCTTAAACATACTCAGAATACTCACATTAGCCTACAGTTTGGCAAAGTCATTTGGCAACAGTACACTACGGAGTACATGTTGGTTACCTTTGTGATCCTGTGGCTGACTGTGAGCTGAGGCTCCTGCTGCTGCCCAGCATAGTGAGAGAGTATCTTACCACATGTTGCTAGCCTGAGAAAAGATCAAAATTTAAAATCTGAAGTATGGTTTCTACTGAATGTGTATCATTTTTCCACCATTATAAAACTGAAAAATTGCAAATCAACCCATCATAAGTCAGGGACCATCTGTATTAGATACTAAATATCAAATCAATTTTTAGAAAGAGCTTTAGAAAATCCGAAACTCTAAAAATGTGATACTGATGTGCTTATTCTGTTCAGTTCAAAAAAGTTCTCTTTTGGTGGCTTTTGCTCTGACTCTTAGAGATAGATTCAGTGAGGTTAATACTTGTAGTCTCTGAATTCAGTTTTTTTCCTTCTGTTATTAATCATCTACTGAGAAATTTTAGATATAAAAATTCACATGTTACTTCTTCTTAAAGAAATGGTCCCTTTATTTTTAAGATTTATACATTTTCTTTATTTCTTTCTTTCTCCATTTTACTGTTGCCTTTGCTTTGGACAAGGAGATAAAACAGACTCTGTGTCATAATATTTGTTAGAGTTCTTGGTTATAAGCAACAGAAACTGACTCTGATTAACCTAAGCACACAAAGAATATACTGGAAGGCTATGAACTCAGTTGAATCAACAATAGGCTGAGAGCTAGTATTGGATAACAATCAGGAATCAAAAGATCCTTAGGAGTTAGGGCAGCAAATATAAACCAGTAGCAGCGTCTGATTTGAACCCCACTGTGAGCAATAAGTCCCCAGTTGTTTGCTGGCTTCACTCTCAAAAGTCAAAGTCTTACAAAGAAGCATTCAATTTGCTAAACCCAAGTATGTTCCTAGTTCCTCTTTCTCCATCCATACAAGGACAAGGAATGGAAGGACTGGTATCTTTCTCCAAGACTATATACAAATGAAAGAGTACTCCAGGGTGAGCTCAGGATGCTTTTAGTAATATGGAATTCAATACTATTCAGTCAAAAAATTACAAATGCCCAATACATATACTTAAGTAAGGACAGAAGTTAGTTGAGCCTTAGGCAGAACTAATCAAAGGATATTTTGTATTATAGTGTAATGAGCACTCATATGTTTTGAGCAAATTGTTTAGGGCCAAATCCTGGTTTCTTCATATCCCAGATATGAGACCTTGTATGAGGAACTTAACCTCTCTAAGCCTGTTTCTTCATCTATAAATACTCTCAACATCGGGATTGTTCTGAGGTTTAGTCACTTGGCATGCAATAGAGACTCAACAAATGATAGCCATCTTCAGAGATGACAGGAATCCCTCTCTCATCATCCACTCTCAGGGCCATGTCTACATCCCCTGTAATTAGCCCCTCTGGACTAATATCCTGATGACACTCTGCACTCTTTAGCCATGAAAACCCTGCAGCTTCCCCAACTTACTTGAAAATATCGCAAACTGTCCTTTATTCAGCCAATTTTCTTCTCTCAACCATTTCTGAGAAATTCATATTATTCATCTCTTTCGCATTTAGTATAATCCAGGATGATTATCCCAGATTTCCTTTTTGCTATAACCACCTGAATTTGTTATTTGAACAATAATTGTCTTGAGACAAGTGAGAATTTGCTACTTTATTAATTCTTATCACCCTCACATTGTAAATATACATTTTTTCATTAATTTTATCTTGGCCAGTGCATGGCTAGATTCTTATGAGGAAAATGGACTTACAAAAAATAGGACTGTAGTTGCTGGAGAAATGGCATACAGTCTGAATCCTCAGGTGGACAACATTGAGTATGCAACTTGACAATGGTAACTTGAGTATCAAAGGAAAAGTAAATCCAACCACGGGTTTCAAAGGACTGTGATTCTGATTAGCTCAGCTGTCATTAGGTTAGTTAGCTCTCTAATTGGTGAATGTGTCCACATGCATTTTTCTTAAGAGCCACTGGCTGTCTCACCCCATTGGCTGAACAGATGGGCCTCCCCAAGTGCTGAGAACCCCAGCTCTGCTTCCAGCTTCTCTCACCCCAGAAGCTGTGGCTGATGCTTAACAAAAAAATCTGTTCTTGTTATATTTAGTACATAAACTAGCTAATGAGCTTATACTAAAAAACAAATGTTGGGAGGCCTAGGAGGGTGGATCACAAGGTCAGGAGTTCGAGACCAGCCTGGCCAACATAGTAAAACCCCGTCTCTACTAAAAATACAAAAATTAGCTGGGCATGGTGGTGGGTGCCTGTAATCCCAGCTACTCGGGAGGCTGAGGCAGGAGAATCGTTTGAACCCGGGAGGCGGAGGTTGCATTGAGCCGAGATCGCACCATTGCACTCCAGCCTGGGCAACAGAGAGAAACTGTGTCTCAAAAAATAAAATAAAATAAAATAAATAAAATAAAATAAAATAAAATAAAATTGAAAATGTATGCATTGTGGAGCTATACGAGATTAAACCAAAAAAAATCCATTTATCTCATGCATTATTATCTCAATTATAGTTAATTAGCAGAGAAATAGACTTATATAAAGTCATGTTATCATTAATGGAAGGTGATAATTACAGTTTACAAGGGTGTCAGTATAATCTTTTGTAATCCTTATGATCCTTTGAATAGAAGTCAATTATCTTCAGTTTGCACCAACATTAAGCAGGTTAATGCCGGCAATCTTATATTTTAATTTATAACATTAAAGGTAACATTTGTTTTACAACTACTTATCAGATTAAACTGGGCAGCAAATCTTTTACATTCATTTGGAGAATTGTTTTGTGTGTTAATATGCTAACTTGTGCTACATGTAAATATCACTCAATTTACAAAGCAAGCAACAGACTGCACTGATTTGTTTACAGTGTCATTATATTATTTATTTATGAAAAGTTTGGTTAAATATAAATGGCATTTTGGTGTGTATGTGATGTTATATATTACTCTGCTATTTTACATTTTAAAAAAGTTAGACTTAGGCAGATGCTAATACTAGTTTTATATTTTGTGTAATAAGTTAGTAGGTAAAAGAGGAAATAATATTACTTTAAAAAGGTAAATGCTAATTGTTGAAATCACAGAGTACTGGTTTTCACTTTATTTTGAAAACTTTTTTGTAATGGATTCACCATTAGACTGTAAATTGTAAGAACATGAAGACCATGTCTCTTATCTGTTATATATAATATTCCTGAAAATTTGCACAATGCCTATGACATAGAAATTGCTTATTTATTTATTTAGTGTTGAATGAACACTAAATAAATCTGTGGAATCACTGTGGCACTCATATGTCATCCTCTAAGTCCCCACCATCACTCCACTCTATCAAATCTTTTATTCTCAGACTTTTTGTGTGCTGTGATAGATACAATGGCAATTATAAAACAAAGTCTCTTCTCTCATGCAGCATACAATCTAATTTAGAGAGAACATTATTATTATTTTGGAAACACTTTTGTATTCCATTAAGGGGTACCTATTGATACTAAGAAGGAAAAGATCAGTGCCCAAACATTGAAAACCTTAAATAGTTAACAATATTTTCGAGATTCAAAGTACAGCCTGACTTCATTCAGATGGTTAATTTGGTGATGAGTGTGGATACAGTGTAAGTAATAGTCCCACGGAGAAAATAAACTCTGTATATGTGGTTCTATCTGTGAGTAACTGTGTTTATTTGTGAGTGTCTGTGTGTGTCTCCATGTGTCTTTTTCTGAGTACCTGTCTGAGACTCCTTACGTGTATTTCTCTAGTGTTGTGGATCGAGTGAGAGGCACAGAACGTAGCAACTCCTCTTCAAGTTAGGACAGCACTCATCCTTTGAGTATGACTACCCTCTTGCCTAATCTAACATAGCCTGCTGCTTTCAACTTCTTTCCTTCAGGCCTTATATTAATTGGAAGTTTTCAGGTTGTTGAAAACTATGTACGGTTTATTCACCAGACAAGATATACCTTGACCACCACCTACTGAAACTGGCCAGGCTTCTCTGATGTTTTCTGAAAACAGGTGATACCTCAGCCTTTCCACACTAATTGCCAGGTGGCTGAACGATGTCTAGCCTTGGTGGTCCTAAATATTAGGTTCAGGTTGGTATAAAGGGAATAGAGTGAGTAGATTGACATTTCCTCTATTTTTTTTTTAGTTTAAACCAACGATCAAGACACAGACTCCAAATCATGATAAATCCCAGAACATCTTTGGAAAAAAAACAGAAGAAAAAGTAATTATTGATTAGAAAAATATACACTATTTCAAATTGTTAGAAATTTGTGGGATGCTAATTAATTACCTGGCGTCCCTTGTGGGATCCCAAGAATTGGAAAAATAAAGCCCAAAAGGCTGGTGCAAATCAAAATATAGCCTTGCTAATGAAAAAGCAGATTTGGAGAGCATAGCTCACACTGAAGGCTGAAATGGACCTAGCTTTACGTTCCCCTCTTAATTAAAGACATGCAGATTCAGAGTAAGCAACGTGACTCACCTCGGCCTTTTTCAGGTGAGACCTTCATCTGACAGAGCAAGGACCTATTGCAGCAAAACTTTGCCTGCACCGATTTGTGCCTGGTCGCAGGCAGGTCCGAGAGGGAGGATTTAAATGACAAAGAGGTGGACACAGGTGGTTTGAGTGTCAATGCGCAGTCTCTCTGTGGTTAAAGTGTCAACTGTTAGCCAGGTTTTCTTCATCCTCACCTAATAGACTAGTCACTCTGCCCTTTGTTTACCCTCAACCGCACCGGTTTTCAACAAGGAGTATTTTTGCTCCCCCAGTTGGGGAGATTTCACAATATCTGGCGATCATTTGTTTGTCACAATTCTGGGGGTGGGTGCTACTGAATCCAGTGTGTAGAAGCCAAGAATGCTGCTAAACATCCCACAATAAAGAATTATCCAGCCTAAAATTTCAATAGTATCAGGGCTGGGACTCTTCTTTATAGAAATGAGAGGATTAGGGAGATAGGTGCTTCCACCTTACATGGACTGATAATAAATTGATACAATCCATATTATGATGAAACATTGTCATAGTTACAAAAAGTATGAATTTGGAGCTATTTCCAAGGTGGTGATTTTGCTACAATATTTGAGTTCTAGAGCGTGTAGAGCAATTGGTGCAAGGGTCACTTCAGCAGCAACAGGGATGACGAAAGACCAGGCTTAGACCCTGACCATTGCTACATTTTTCGAGTTTCCCCTTTACTCCCAAATAGGAATCCTCATTTGAAAAACTGATAGTGGCCGGGCGCAGTGGCTCACGCCTGTAATCCCAGCACTTTGGGAGGCCGAGTGGGGCGGATCACGAGGTCAGGAGATCGAGACCATACTGGCTAACACGGTGAAACCCCGTCTCTACTGAAAATACAAAAAATTAGCCAGGCGTGGTAGCGGGCGCCTGTAGTCCCAACTACTCGGGAGGCTGAGGCGGGAGAATGGCGTGAACCCGGGAGGCGGAGCTTGCAGTGAGCCGAGATGGCGCCACTGCACTCCAGCCCGGGGGACAGAGGGAGACTCTGTCTCAAAAAAAAAAAAGAAAGAAAGAAAGAAAGAAAAACTGATGGTAACAGTGTCCTATCAAAATAAGTAAGGAGAGGGTAAAGTAACAGAAACTCTCTTCCATTTTTATGGAAGCATAAAATTGTATAACCACTTTTAAAAAATAGAGAAAATAGTTTGACACTTTCTTTTGAGACAGAGTCTTGCTCTGTCGCCCAGGCTGGAGTGCAGTGGCACAATCTCGGCTCACTGCAAGCTCCACCTCCCAAGTTTATGCCATTCTCCTGCCTCAGCCTCCCAAGTAGCTGGGACTAAAGGCACCCGCCACCACACCCAGCTAATTTTTTTTTTTTTTTTTTTTTTTTTTTGGGATTTTTACTAGAGATCGGGTTTCACCGTGTTAGCCAGTATGGTCTGGATCTCCTGACCTCGTGATCCGCCCTCCTCGGCCTCCCAAAGTGCTGGGATTACAGGCGTGAGCCACTGCACCCGGCCCCCAGAAGAGCATACTTCTAAAGAACTTAAACTAAAGAAAGAAAATACTAATTATCAGAACTAAGCAAGTCAATTCAATTGGACACTAAATTTTGCTTTACATGTTTTGATAGTGAAGGCAAAAAAGAAGTCTGGGCTTTCTAAAAACAAAATGTATACATATTCATCTCCAGACTTGTTTTTTCCCTCTATCATCTAATTCAAGCAGAAATCTACAAAAATAAGGGATTTTGAACAATATGATGAAGATAATTTAAAACTATATTTTTTTTAAAAAGGGGAGTACATTTTAATAAAAAATTAAAAACTTAGCTTCTTGTACATAAGTTGTTCAAGGTTTCTCAGATGCAAAGTGAGTTCTACATTCAATCTTCATAAACTTTACCAAGGTAAAGATAGTGATGAATCTTTTGCTTTAAAGCTTAAGGTCCCTGAGGTCGTATTTACTTGTGTAAAGGAGTACAATGAGGTGCACATGCTTTTCCATCATTTAAATAGCATAATACCTTTTTACCCTTGAGGACATAGAGAGACTATAAGATTTAAAAACCAATTTATTTAAAGTTCCTCTCCTGAAGTTTGAAACTGTGATTGGGGGTAAAGAAATCAATTCTCATTATCTTCAGGAAGAAAAGTGTTTAATCTTTGCACAATAAATTGTGCTTCAGAATTGAGAAAAATAGAACCCAATTCTACTATGTGTCTAAGTATGTGAGCTCATGTAATGAACCTAAGCTTGTCAGTCAAAGTTGGTAAGTCAATGCTTTATAGGTCAGATGTACACAGCTGGATCATTTGGAATATATACAACATGGGAGTTGAGAGACAATTCAGTAAGTTGAATATTGTTTATCTGATGTCACTCCCAAACTCTGATGAACTTGGTGTGAAGAAAAACTAATAGTTTAATATTTGCTCTGTTTATAAATTTCACAACTTTATAGAACTTGATTAGCTCAATCTACTCATTTTACAGAAAAGGCCACTAAAACTTAGCAAAGTTAAAGAGCTTAGCCTAAGTCTCACAGCTAGTAAGCAGCAAAACTAAAATCTGCTGAGTTATTCAAAGCCTAGCGTCTCTCTACATTACCTTGGTAAGTCTAGGTTATTGTTTAATGCTTTTAAATGATCTAAACCATTTCCCAAATTATAGGATTACATGACTTTCTAAATGTTAAAGCATCATTTTGCATTATAAAAACAATTCTATAAAATTGGAGGGAATCAGGGGTTGAAACCACACATTTACATAATTTCATAAATGTTACTTTCTCCACTAGTAATCTCCAACCTTCTTGACCAGGATTTCCTGTCTCATTGTTGGCACCGTGTGCTAACTTCACATGACTGGCTTTCATCACTGAAAATTGACACTTCACTTTAGATTATTTTTTCTCTATGTCATTCAAGAGATTAACCTGTATTTTGAAGAAAGCTGAATTGACACAGCAGCCTTAATGCCAATTTATACCTCAGGCATAAAGAAACAGAGAAACTCAGCTTTACCAGTGCCAACAGGAATTTCTTGTTCCAGGAATATTTGCCTGTTGTCATTTATTTATTATTGCAACTATACCTATAGTATTCAGTAAACTCATGCTTTTTTAGAAATTCCAGTAAATATGATGCCACCAAAGGCACCACTGCATTCAAAAATAGTACCTTTCAAGCTTCAAATGCTTGTCCCACTCAAAATTGAAGAAAGCATTGCAAAGTTATGAAATAATACTTCTTACTTTTCCAAAAACAATCTAATTCTGTTTATTCACAAAAACCAAATAATTTCATTGGGTTCAACCTACCTGTTTTTCATTGCCACTTCTAAACAGTATCTGCAACCCAATCATGAAATGACAACATCTCTGAAACCAAAAAAAAGCTCACTGGTGTAATCCTTTTTTCCTTTGCCCTAATTCTATAATTATGGTGGCTGACATTGTGATTTATTTGGCATTTTTCTGAAACTGGTGATTATTTTTGTTCTTGTACTTACTTGTAAAGGTTACTGATAAATGAATTCCTTTGTGTTTATGTTTTTTAATGATCTGAATGCTCTGTTTTGCATGTATCCATCTTTTGGGTTTTGATTGTCATCCACTTTTATTCAGTCCTTTTTTATCGTAATGTTCTTTCATCAAATAAGGGCACAATGTCATTAGAATAAATTTTTGTATATTAAATTTCATTTGATTAATGTAGAGAATAATGGAGTTGACATAGTCAACTCCAAATATAAAAGCATTGGCCCATATTTTCCCAGGAAAATTAACACAGATTAATGAGCACCTGTATTCATGTATTGAATAAATACTTATTGCCCACCTATTATATGACAAACATTAAGTTCATCTCTGAGTCTGTAAAAGCAAATTAGATGTTGGTTGCCAGGGTCTGGGGGAGGGAAGAATGGAGGTATTAGTGTTTAATGGGTACAGAGTTTCAATTGAAAAGAGGAAGTTCTGGAGATAGATGATGGTGACGGTTGCCCAACAATGTAAATTTACTGAATGCCACAGAACCGCACATTTAAACATGGTTAAAAAGGTAAATTTTATGTTATGCACGTTTTACTATAATAAAACTAATTAGAGAAGGCCCTCAAGGAGTTTACAACCTAGTTGGAGCAACTGAGAAGTAAAAAAAATGTTATTATTTACAATAGACATGAAAAGCTCTACAATAAAAGTATTCTTTCACCATTTAGTGAATACAAATGAGGGACATCTAGACCAAATCAGGGTGGGTAAGCAGAAGGGTGTTACTGCATAGTGTCCAAAAGAAAGGGTAGAAATGAGGTTGTCAACTATGAAATAGAAAGATTATAGGCAGCCAGGCAGGCACAGTGGCTCACACCTGTAATCCCAGCACTTTGGGAGGCCGAGGCAGGTGGATCACAAGGTCAGGCAATCAAGACCATCCTGGCTAACACGGTGAAACCCCGTCTCTACTAAAAATACAAAAAATTAGCCGGGCGTGGTGGTATGCACCTGTAGCCCCAGCTACTTGGGAGGCTGAGGCAGGGGAATTGCTTGAACCTGGGAAGCCAGAGGTTTCAGTGAGCCAAAGTCGTGCCCCTGCACTCCAGCCTGGGCAACAGAGCAAGACCCCGTCTCAAAAAAAAAAAAGAAAGATTATATAGGCAGAGTTCTAGCAGTGAAGCTTCCCAATGTAAGGACAAGAACACATGAGTCCATCGCACTGTCCAAAGCCGGTTATGTCCAGCAGTCTTCTGCATTCCTCTCCTCATCTCTGGGAATTTATCCAGTGGCTCACCAGCCTCCATCCTGCACCTTCGGCCTTGCCTATTTTACTGAGTAATTCCCATTAGCACTCAGATATGTTCTAGTATCATCCATCTTTAAAACACACAAACACACACACACACGTACATGTGTTTCTTGATTTCTACACTCTTCTAATAGCACCTAATCTAGTTCTACAAGAACTACATCCCAAGAGTTATGTATAGAGTGAAAGTGGGGGAAGGCTTACTTGGGATTCTAACTAATTTATGTTCTTCAATACAGTTTTAGGTTTAGATGAGACTTATCAGGATTAATACGTTTGGTTTCCCTTTTGCCTAGTCATCATATATGTCCATACTATTTCTAGACCACGAGAATAAAGTACATTGACTAGTAAGCTGTGAATCCCCCAAAAGGAAAACAGAATCACATTCTGTTGCATGACGAGGAGTGAGAATCAGACCAAAGGAGGAAGTGTAAACTGAGCATGTTTTTTACTAGTTAGGTCTGTTCTTACAAGTCCTCATCTAAAGGACTCATATCTGAATTGTAAGTAATGGGAACTACAACAAAAAAAAGAAGGGGGCCTAAATAAGCTGTTTTACCACAATTTCTTTAATGAGTAACACCCTTAACATTAGCCATTGACAGATTGAGAGAGATTCTTGCTATCACAAATAATGATATCATTCTTCCCATCATGAGACTTTGAGCAGAGTTGGCCAGAGAAACCACTTCATGCCAAGTATTCGTTGGTCACAAAGACCATTAGTGCAAACATCAATGGCCTGAGCATTGTGTATTATTAACCTCAGAGCATGTTTGCAGGCATCAGTGTCAGAACAAATGGCATCTTTGAGACTCATCAGTAGCCTGGCTCCTGCTTTGCATATCGAGAAAGGATGTTTCTCCCAGTGGGCCAATGATGAAGAGGAGGAAAAGTCAATGTCATGGGGTTTCCAAGTACGGGGGTCAGTGGAACATATATTGCACACTTTCTAAGGATTATCAGAATCATTTGAAGGAAATTTTAGTGAAGTTAGTTCTTCTGCAAGTCATGTGAATGTATGAAGCAAGAGAACTACTATTTTGTGATTAATCCTATTACTCTATTTTTAATCCCTACTAGTATAGTTAAATATATTTGAGGACACATTTAAATTGTCTCAAAGTTTAAAATAAATACATTTTGCATAATTAAGTTATGATTCAAGGAGATCACAAAGAATACTTTATAATAATGACCTAAGTTTAAAGACTAATTATGGTTAAATATTAACACTGTTTTAAAATATGACACACGTCCTATAAAGAATTAAAATGTTTAAGGCACTAGTCTCCTTTTAAGATCAACTATTATCCATATTACTTTTATACAAGGTTCACTAAGCCCCTAGGTATTGTAACTATTTTTCACTTACATCTAGGCTAGAATCAACTGCACATTTATACTGCAATAGGAAACTGCATTAAAAGCCACCCATGCTTTTCTTCATACCAATCACTTTATCTCTCATAACATTCTTAGTATCAGTGCCCTGAACCACTTTAAATATTCATATGAACATGTTAAGATGCCTTTAGGTTTTAAGATAAGTAGATTATCTATGCAACCTAAAGGAATTATTCCAATGCTACAAAGAAAAACAGATCATTGAACAAATCATAAATCTTGCCTTCATAGCATTCCCCAGATTTGTAATGCAGAAGCCTTTCTTACTATTTTTGTGAAAATAACATAATAATAACATAATGTTCTATGCTTATATACTACTTTTCTAATAACTATCAACTCATTTATCTTTTTGACCGCACTGAGTAATAAAGAGGGAAAAAATATTGTTTCTATTCTATAATGAGGAAACTGAGGCAGAGTGCCAAAAAAGAAAAAATTGCCTATGGAAAACATTTGCCTAGGCAAAAAACATAAAAAATTAGTCTTAGTTGTTTATCTACAACTAAGTTGAATAAAGAAAAGACAGAAAAATAAAGAAACATGGGCCAAATTAATCACTGCTCCTTATAATTAAAAGCAGTCATTGGTTGTTTCACCTTTGAAAAGAAAAGGGATTAATGGAGTTCTATATTAGATAAAAATACCTTTTATTGAAGCCCACAGCTTGTCATAGACTATGGAGATAGAACAGACTATGATGCAGTAAAAAAGAAATCCTAAAATCTAAGCAGTTTAACACAAGAAACTTTATTTTTTTTCCTTAAGTTAAAGTCCAGTAAAGCTGAGTTATTCTCCTTGACGGTTTTCTTTCAAGTGATGATTCAGGCATCTGAGCCCCTGCCATTATGTAGCTAAACTCTCTGAAACACATAGTTTCTGAGGTCAGCATAGAAGGAAAAATGAGACTATAGGACAGGTTCACACAGGATATAAGTGTCAGTCCTGCAACTGGCTTAAATCAATTCTGACCATTTCCTATTGGCCAGAAGTTAATCCAATCCCCTCGTTTGGGTGCTATGGAAAATACCATAAACTATATGGCTTATGAACAAAAGCCGTTTATTTCTCACAGTTCTGGAGGATGAAAATTCTAAGATTTTGGGTGCTGGCAAATTTGATATCTGATGAGGGCAGACTTTCTTGTTCATATAGGATGTCTTCTTACAGTGTCCCTGTATGGTCAAAGCAGTGAGAGGATTATTCTTGAGCTTCTTTTACAAGGACACTAATCTCATTAATGCAGGCTCCACTCTTATGAACTAATCATCCTCCAAAGACCCGCTTTCTAATACCATTACCTTGGGAGTTAGGATTTCAACATAGCAATTTTCAGGGGACACAATCATTCAGGCCACTGTATCTTAATCTATGAAGACTGGAAAACATAGCCTTGTTTGCCTAAGAGGAGGAAAATGAAACAGGACCTGGAGAGCATCATAACATTGTCTCTGCCACTAGCTAGTACGTGGGTAAGCAAGAGGTTGATGGGACATGTATTAAAAAGCAGTAGATCAGCTTTCAAGAGAACCTATGTTTCATCTTCGGAAGATAGCTCTTAATTTTATTTTGGGGAAATTCCTTAACTCACAAGGCTTCAGTTTACTCAGCTGTGAAGTCAGAGAAGGATAAGTCATGGGAGCTAAGATGATATAATACATGATAATAATGTCAATCCATTTCTAAGCGTTTACCATCTGCTATATGCTGTGCTACATTCTTTAAATAGTATCTCATTATTTCCTAAGTCAACTTTTAACATTCTATGATGCTAAGGAGGAAATACAGTTCAAAATTCTTATGTCAAACTACACGAAGCAATAAAATAAATTAGTGTTAAGTGTTGTTCAGAATTACAGGGAAAGAAGAAGTAGCACTTATGTCTCAGGAACGATCCAGTTAAGAATAGAGAAGCTCAAATCTCATTAGAAGAAGAAAAAGAAATGATAGTAAGTTGGTGAAAGTCCCTTGTTGATAATCACAACTTTCCCCTCTTTATTTCTGTAAATCATGGCTCATTCCTTCTTCTATTCCTTCAGATAAATTTCTGTTGAACACCTATAATGTGGGAGGTTTCAATGCTATCGGTGTAGAACCAAGGGAAAAGACAATGATTTTTAAGTTGTGGATATCTTTGTGACTCATAAACTGAGAAAATAAAATATATATTTTTATAAGAAATAAAGAAAAGTTGGTCAAATGGTATTTCTAGTTCTAGATCCTTGAGGAATCGCAACACTGTCTTCCACAATGGTTGAACTAATTTACACTCCCACCAACAATGTAAAAGCATTCCTATTTCTCCACATCCTCTCCAGCATCTATTGTTTCCTGACTTTTTAATGATAGCCATTCTAACTGGCGTGAGATGGTATCTCATTGTGGTTTTCATTTGCATTTCTCTAATGACCAGTGATGATGAGCTTTTTTCATGTTTTTTGGCCGCATAAATGTCTTCTTTTGAGAAGTGTCCGTTCATATCCTTCACCCACTTTTTGATGGGGTTGTTTGGTTTTTCCTTGTAAGTTTGTTTAAGTTTCAAAGGATTATAAATCATTCTACTATAAAGACATATGCACACATATGTTTATTGCAGCACTGTTCACAACAGCAAAAAGACTTGGAACCAACCCAAATGCCCATCAATGATAGACTGGATTACGAAAATGTGGCACATATACACCATGTAATACTATGCAGCCATAAAAAAGGATGACTCCTGTCCTTTGCAGGGACATGGTTGAAGCTGGAAACCATCATTCTCAGCAAACTAACACAGGAACAGAAAACCAAACACCACATGTTCTCACTCGTAAGTGGAAACTGAACAATGAGAACACATGGACACAGGGAGGGGAACATCACACACTGGGGCCTGTTGGAGGGTGGTGGACTAGGAGAGGGATAGCATTAGGAGAAATACCTAATGTAGATGACGGGTTGATGGGTGCAGCAAACCACCACGGGCACATATATACCTATGTAACAAACCTGCACATTCTGCACATGTGTCCCAGAAGTTAAAGTATAATAAAAAAGAAAATATATATTTTTAAAGAATCAGCCTTGCATGGTGGTGCATGCCTGTAGTCCCAGCTACTTGAGAGGCTGAGGAAGAAGAATGGCTTAAGCCCAGGTAATCAAGGCTGCAGTGAGCCATGGTCATGTCATGGCATTCCAACCTGAGCATCAGAGCGAGACCTTGTCTCAAAAAAAAAAAAAAAAAAAAAAAAATATATATATATATATATATATATACACACACACACATATGTATTTATACTTTATATGTGTGTATATATATGTATGTCTGTATATTTCCTGGAGGGTTTTGAGGCCTTGTATGTGTGTGTGTATATATATGTTTCGCATATATATATATATATATACACACACATATATATGAGAGTTTATATATACATATATAGGCCCTCAAAACTCTCTTTGGAAAAACATGGGCCACAGATCTTACCGTGATGTGTCTCGTTTTCCCAGGCACATCCTCAACCTTGACAAAATAAACCTCTAAATTGATTGGAAAACAAAAAAGAAAGAAAGAAAAGTTGAAAAAATTGAAATTCAAATTCTGTTCTTTGTGGACAATAGCATCAGCTCTACAAAGATGTCTTGCAACATCTTTTACAGAGACACTTGTAAAATGAATAGAGTTTGTTTCATAAGTATCCATAAATCAAAAACCTCTTGTATTAGAGAATTACACTCTCTAAAACTCAACTATTAATATTTCTAAGACGCTTTTGCTGGAACCATGAAAAGAGTGTTGTCCATCAACTATCAGGCTACTCCTCAGTGTAAATTGATATATAATTTTCTCTTAACATCTTTTTTCTCAAACCTGCTTTGATAGAAGTAGATTCCTAGCAGATGAGGGCCACCTAGGGATGTCTTGCCTTAAAATGTTACTGTGTTATTGGAGAATGAACAATTAGTTTAAATATTCATATTTTTTTCTACTCAGATCTAGCAAAGACAGATGAGAAAGGTGATTTATTTCTGAAGGAACAAAAAGATGTATTATGATACCTTTAATAGACTTTTTCAATGCTTTAAAAAATAATCAACCAGTGGTGTTATTCTGCACACACACAAAAAAAATGTTTAAAGACTTAACGGACACTTTTAAGACCCCACCAATACAGTTTTAAGTTACTAATGAAGGGAATTTGTCCTTCACATTGGTAGATAGCCAAGCAATGATAAATAATTGTATCAAATCCAGTTCCTGACCTCTCAAAGTTCCAATAGATTTCACGCAGCTCATAGACTGTTGCGGGCACCAAAATAATCTCCCCTTGTCTCTGATATAGAGCAGGTTTGATGCGCAGAAACCCTGGTGTTCTTAACTAACTGTAACCAAATCAGATAAATTGTCTTCAGCAGTCAGCTGCCATTATCTTGCGTCTAGAGATTATTGTCTTTCTTTCAATGGAAAAGAAATATTACTTTGTTATGTAGAAATACCATTGCTTTTGCTAAGTGCCTACAGGAAAACATTTCTCATTAAAACATTAACAGTGAAAGCTCCAGAGTTGTTGATTTGTTTTTACTTCTCAATGACTTGAAATTAAAGATACTATAAAATTTAAGATATATACAGTTCTGGATTTATATTAGCTTTATATAGCACTATAATGTTAAACTATGCTATTAAACCATATTTCTTGACATATTCAACTAAAAATTCAATCTCTTAATCAAAATGTTTCCAAGGCTTAAAAGTTTTAAACAATTATTTGCTGATTCACTTACAGTTTGATAAATATACGTATATTGAAAATATACAATTATAAATAGGTGATTCCTTACTTTTTAAAAAGCTTTTGTGTCACAAAAGAACCTTATCCCAAACTAAATGATTCAAGGTGGTTTTCACCAAGTGGTTCTAAACCTGTACTACACATTAAAGTTTCCCAGGGAGATTTTAAAATCTCTGATGCCAGACCACACCCCAGACCAAATAAAACAGATCTCTCTGGGCAGGACCAAGGCTTTAGTATTTTTTAAAGTTCCCCAGGAGATTCTAATGTGCCAACAAAGTCAAGAAGCACTGCTCTAAGAGATGATCATATCAGGTAAATATATTTGTTATTTAAGATCACAAATTTTTGAGGAAAATAGATATTCAATTTTCAGACTGCCATCATGAGCCTCATCTTTTACCATATTTACCATATCTTATCAATAAACTATTTATAGAATATTTTTCCTAGTCCCTCTTCTATTTTGAACATGCAGGCAAAAGCCATTCTGATTTCTTTTTACTAAATAATAGCATGTACTTAATTAGCATAACACTAAAATTAGCAAAGGTCTTAGCCTTTCTGACTAGTGTGTTTGCATCTTAAGGTGCCAAGGAGGACAGCTATCAGATTTAAGAGAGTCCTTTCCATTCCCCCTTCTTCTTTATTCCCCTTGGAGCTGTGTGAGAGCCCTTACAATTTACCTTTGCACTAACGAGGGTAAAGTGCCCGAGCTGCACATTCCATGGCAGGCGCCGCAAACTTAACAACAGGATTTACGAGGTGTGTGCTTGCCAGAATGTCTCTAATGTTCAGGTTCACTCATCCCAAGCCTTAAATTGGCTCTCTTGGTGCTATTTTAATCTGTACAGACCCAATCACACACAGCGTACAAATGGTGGTTCAAAGAAATGCACATAATAATGTGGCAGAGGATGTAATTTCTGTCAGAGAACACCATTGTTAACTATGATTGAAAAGACATGAATCCTGCTAAAGATATGAAACATTTTTTATGTCTACTGAATTTTAAAGGAAAGAAATATCCAAAAGGTAAAATTTAAATCCTCTGGGAGCCCCAACCAGATAAGGGCACCTACAAATAATGCATGCAGTAGTAATCCATTTTACATACTAATAGGCGAAGGTTGTAAGGGTCACAGTAGACCACACAAAATGAGTTAGACCTGTGGGGGCGTGGGAGGGGTCCCTGACCCATGGAATCAGCATGTTCTGTTACTTTTGTGCATCTATTCTGACACTGAGTTGATACTCCCTATTGAAAAACAGACATTTCGATAAGCAAAGGAATACTGATTCGACTCCTCACCAAAGACCCAAGAGGACTAAGAGCCCGGTTTTGCTACTAAGAACAAAAAGCCAATAAATTACACAAAAGTGATTAATTTTATTTTTCCTACCCCACAGCATCTTTTCTTGTTTGAGTCTTTGGAGGGCATTCCAGCAGTTAAAAATTAGAGCAGTTACAACTGATGTGACACGGGCTCAGAGCAATCCAGTAAGACAAGAGCTGCTCCTGCTGAGTCCCTACCAAGCCAGTGTCTAAAGCGTTAGTTTCTAGATATTGGAGAAATCTTGAGAATCTTAGGGACCCTTATGGACCCAGCAAGGGACTTGGTGGCAAGGATATATTCAAAGGTTTGGGTCAACAGATAGGTACCATTTGGTAGAGAGGCATTTCAATATTTCAACAATTGGTCTGGCTATTCTGAGTAAATATTAGCCCTGGCTCCTAATACACGGGTTTATACAATTCTAGCACTGATCTCACTGATTGAAGAATTAGGTTTATTTGGATTTTTGGCCTAATGGTGTTGGTCTCGGTTATTATTATATTTTTTCTTGTCTCTTATCAAAATAAAATACTTGACAAAAGATAATAGAGAAAAGAAACATAGAAATGGGGGGAGGAAGGAGGTTGAGAAAAATAAAGAGAGGGAAAGGCTGGTATATCTAAACAATGATTCCAATTACACAAACAATCCATCCCCGCAACCTTTCCTAATATTTCAGGCTTGCAAAGGATTTGCAGCTACAGGTTTCTGCCACTCACAATCAGTTCCTCCATTTATCAATTTTACCTTGCACTGTAGTCGGCAGAATACAAATGCAAAGATACAGGAATAATGATAATCTTAGCACAGCCTCCCATAGATAGTAATGACTGTTGGCTGAAGCAGGTGCTGAGAAGTAATAAAATTCACGTTAAGTAGCATTCCTATTCTGTAGTCTATCACATGCGCTATCTCTTGGTAGCATGTGGCAAATAATCAGTCAATTCTATTTGACTGTTTAGTGAGCAGTGAAAGAAATGTGCTTCTGTCACAAGCAAAAACTTGTACTGGGCCAATTCTACTGGATGCCATGAGGTTAACTCAACTTCGCAGCATTCACTGATTAAGTGGTAAAAAGTCTGAGTCCCACAGCTATGTGGTCGTGATTTCTGCATCTTTTATGCTATTAACCTTTATTCAATTCAATTGCAAAATGCTCCTTTTGTTTTGTCTCAGACTGAATGTAATAACTGTTGCCAGATTGACAGTCTGACAGATTGAGTCATGAAGGTCTGGCCAGTGATACCCTTAGAAGCACTCAGATAGGGGATAGCCAAGGTAGAGTCATTAGGGAGGTGCTAGGAAGTACCCAATATCTTTAAATTATTTTCATTTCCTAAGCTAGGAACCCACTCCAACAAGATGTTGTACCTGTTAGCTTCAAGCTCTATCCCCTTTAGAAATGTTTCTACCATCGAATTAATTACTCTATACTTTACAGTCATTTGAACCATTTAATGAAATTAGGTTTATCATATCCTTTCCTGAAATAAGTTTCTGTAAGTAAAGGGATGAAAGTACATCAGTCTTGTGACTTCAAAGATAAGGACTTGAGGAAGAAGATGAAGAGAGATGTATGAATGAGCAAAATAGCCTACTGTACAGTTGTCTGACTCTTATTTTTGCCTAAATGGCCTTGTGCCTACCTCTAATTAAAGGAGAACATCTCACCTTACTCCCCATCCCAACCCCAGGCTAAATCAACTTCTTCTCTCCTCCTTTAAAGATACTCACTAGGCAAGACATTGTTTCATACTGTGACAGAGGCTAGTTGCTTTCTGTGTGCACTCTCCTTCTTCCCTAATAAATAAAATGGTTTTAGAAGAACATATTACTCCTTAAAATGAAAGATTAGATTTTTCCAGAATCCCTATAAGCTATGTATCACCAAAGGACTAATCTGGCCACTGAAATGTAACCTTTGGGGACTTCCAAGAGGGCTTTTTAAAAGAAGTTCACTAGTTATAGTCAGCACCGTTGTGCTGTCCTCTACTCCCTTCTGTTACCAACTTGGTCAGTGAGAGTTTTAGCAATCAGCTTGCATTTCACAATCAATCACTAAATTAATTCCTTTGTATATTCTTTGTTTCTTGATCCTCTTTTCACATTACCTAATTGTCTTATAATCTTGGGGAACTCACATTTTAATTTGTTCTTTATGTGTAACCATACAACTAAAGCAGAATATAGAGACAAGACCATAACGAATGCTCTCATCTTAAATTTGACTTTTAACTATTTTTTAAGTTATTTAATTTATCTATTTATTTATTGTTGTGTGTGTGTGTTTTGTTTTTTGCTTTTTTTTTTTTTTTTTTTTTTTTTTTTTTTAGAGACGATGTCTTGCTATGCTATCCAGGTTGGTCTCAAACTCCTGACCTCAAGAGATCTTCCTACCTTGGCCTCCTAAAGTCCTAGGATTACAGGCTCGAGCCACTGCACCCACCCTAATTTTTAAATTGTCACAAAATATACGTAATATAAGATTTACTATCTTCACCATTTTTCAGTGTACATTTCAATGGTATTAAGTAAATTCACCCTGTGGTACAACCATTAGTAGTAACCATCTCTAGAACTTTATTTAACTTACAAAACTAAAACTCTGTATCCGTTAAAAAATAATTCTCCGATCCCTTTGCCTGCAATCCCTGGAAACAACCATTCTAATTTCTGTGCTTCTGGTTAACATAAGAATAATATTTAATGTCTTAAAGTTATAGCTCTCTAATTTGAATCTATACCAGCTTAATTTTAATAACATACAAAAACTCTACTACTATATTACTTTATTTCTACCCCTTTTACAGTTACCAGTGTAACAAAATTACATCTTTATGCATTGTGTGTCCAGAAACGTAGACGAAAAATTGGTTTATATTGTCTTATATGGTGTGGGAAAAAAGTGGAGTTAGAAATCAAAGTTACAATAATACTAGCTTATATAATTATCCATGTAAATACTTTTACCAGAGGTATTTATTTCTACATACATATTTGAGTTACTGTCTAGTGTCCTTTCATTTCAAATGGAAACAGGGCTTAATTTAGCATTTCATCCTAGTCTAGTGGTAACTAGCATTTCATACTAGTCTAGTTATTAGTGGTAAAAAACTGACTCAGTTTTTGTTTTTTCTGGTAATGTCCTAATTTTTTTTCTTAATTTTGAAGACAGTTTTGCCAGATGTAGGAATCTTGGCTGACAGGTTTGTTTTTGTTTTTGTTTTTGTTTTTGTTTTTGTTTTTTCAGCACTTTAAATATACCAACCCATTGCCTTCTGGTCTCCAAAGTTTCTGACGAGGATCTACTGATATTCTTACCAGTCATCCCTTACATGTAGAAAGTTGCTTCTCTCTTGTGACTTTCAAGATTCTTTGTCTTTGGCTTTTAATATTTGATTTAAATGTGCTTCAACGTGGGTCTCTTTGAATTTATTCTGCTTGGAGTCTGTTGGGTTTCTTGGATGTTTGTATATGTTTCTTTTATCAAATTTGGGAAGTTTTTCAACATTACTTTTTCAAATATTCTCTTCCTCTTTCTTTCTTGAGACTCCAAACAATGCACATGTTGGACTATTTAATGGCGTACACAAAGTCTCTTAGATTCTATTCACTTTTCTTTGAACTTTTTTTGTTCATTCTATACCTCAGACCTTTTGATTGTCCTATTTTTAAGTTCATAATTCTTTCTTCTGCCTGCTTATATCTGTTTTTCCATAGCTCTAATAAGTTTTTCAGTTCAGTTATTGTAATTTTCAGTACCAGAATTTCTTTTTGGTTACTTTTCAATCTCTTTATTAATATTTCCATTTTTCATGCATTATTTTCTCTTCTTGACTTTGTATTCTCTTGTTTTGGCTCTTTGAGCACTTTTTTTTTTTTTTTTTTCTTTGAGACAGAGTCTCGCTTTGTCGCCCAGGCTGGAGTGCAATGGCATGATCTCGGCTCACTGCAAGCTCCGCCTCCCGGGTTCCCGTCATTCTCCTGCCTCAGCCTCCCGAGTAGCTGGGACTACAGGTGCCCGCCACCATGCCTGGCTAATTTTTTGTATTTTTAGTAGAGACCGGGTTTCACCGTGTTAGCCAGGATGGTCTCCATCTCCTGACTTCGTGATCCGCCCGCCTTGGCCTCCCAAAGTGCTGGGATTACAGGCCTGAGCCACCGCGCCTGGCCGAGCACCTTTAATACAGTTCTTTTAAAGTCTTTGCCTAGTTAGTCTGCCATATGATCTGTCTGAGAAATAGGCTCTGTTTATTAATTTCGTTTCCTTTGAATGGGTCATGCCTTCTTATATTTTGATATGACGTGATTTTTTGTCATTGAATACTGGACTTTCAAATCTTATAATGTGGTAAATTTGTAGATCCTTCTCAGGTCCTTCTCCTTCCTCAAGGTTTGCTGATTTGTTTTGTTTTGTTTTGTTTCTTATTGTTGCAGAGTATTCATGTGCTGGTAATCAGCCCAAGGCATGGATTTAAGATCTTCTCAGGTCTTTCCTGAGCCTGTCCTTCGGTATGCATAGTCACTTTCTAAATTCCCCTGTATATATGGTTTCTTTTGAATATTGCAGTGATTAAACATCTGGCACCACAAAGGGAGAAAGGAGAAAAATGAAGCAGAGATAATACTTTAAATTCCCTGGAAGTCACCACAGCTGGAAGAGGAAAGGATTGCAAAAGGAAGGCAATATGGCTCCATGCCTCTGTGTCTGCATCTTCACTACCAGAGCAGCAATCAGCAGTCAGAGAACAAACCTTCAGTATTTAGTGGACAGAGAGTCCTTATCACCCACACTGCCTCCCAAAAGCTGCTCCAGGTATCTGTGTACAGGCTGTCTGCTACGGGGCCAGGAGTTAGGGAAAGGGTAGCCACTACCGGGCCAAAAAACAAAAGTGACTGAAAGTAACCACGATTTACCTTCCAAGCCTTCTCCTGAAAGTTGGAAGCCTTCAATAGACTCCAGAGTTCCAAAATAACTACATCAGACAGATTCTGTCAGTGCAATAGTTGTTTATGTGTAGGGATGTATTTCTGGTGCTTCTTGCTCTGCCATCTTCCCTCTAACTTCACCATGACTACTGACTCATAAAGTCACTTGCAAATTGTATCTTTCTTTAGTTAATTTATTCTTCCACTCTTTGTAAACTATGTCTTCTCAAGACATATACAAGAAGTTATGTATAACTTCTGTCTTCTCAAGCCTGGAACCCCTCGTCTCAAACTTTCAGTCTCAGCTGATAATGTTACTTCTTATATGGGCAAAACATATTTAATCAAAAGAATACTTCTACATGTTTCCATCACCATATCTACTTATATAGTAGCATTTGGTGTCCCCCAGGTATTTTGTCTTCTTTCCTATGATTATGGATAAACCCCACCACCTGTACACAAGATCCCATCTCCTCCGTTCTTTTCAAAGACATTGCTCCAGTATTCCAAGAGTTACTTCCTCTCTCTTCTTCATCAACAATTTTTTTTCCTACTGGAACTTTCCCATTGGCATTAAAAAAAAACACTGTTTGTCCTTTTATCACTTAAAAAGACAAGAACCCATCCCTTAACTCCACACTGTCCTCTATCCATTAACTCACATTTCTTTTTTTTCATAGCAAAACTTCTTAAAAGAATCTATACAAACTGTCTGTAATTTTGCTGTCTCATTCTTTCAGGAACCCACATCTATTAGAATTTAATTCCCTCTCCCCCAGTGAAACTGCTGAAACCAAATACCTTTACACTACCTGATCCAATGGCAAATTCTCCACCATATTATGAATTGACCAATCGTTTCACTTAACATAATTGACCATATTATCCTCCTTTAAGCACTTTCCTGTGTCTTTCTCTATTTCTTAAGACTGCTTCTCAAGCCCCTTTGCTACATTCTCCTTATTTCTTCTTCCTGCAAATTGTAGAACAAGGCTTAGTCTTGTATCTCTTATCTTTTCTCTCTAAATGCACTTCCTTTAAGAGCTTATCCAGTCTCATGCTTTTCACCCTTATTTATACAATATTAGTTTCAAATGTGTATTCCCACTGTGAATCTATCCTGTGAACTCCAAGATTATATGTCCAATTGCCTCCACATCATCTTCACCTGGGGGTTATTGTAGCCTGTGTCTAACTAGCAGATAGAAACCATATAGTAGGTTAAACAGGGAAGTGTAAAATAAAGAATTATTAACTATTATAAAAGAGCAAAAGTAAAACATATGGTACCCTAGAACTGAGGGAGGATACTCAAGCAAGGAAAAACTTGGAAGGAATTCAAATGTTATTGGAGAGGTTATAGTTCAGACTATTGGATAATAAAGAAGGCCAGTCTGTAGTTGCCGGGAAAGCAATAGCCACTCTCTGGAGTGCTGATGTGAAAAGGTGATCATTAGCCAGTGGCTTACAGAGGGAACTGAGGCACAAGCAGAGGAAGAAGGCCCTCACAGAGTGTAGGGACTCTGGTTTCCATGTTAACGGGGCTGAAAAAAAAAAAAGGTTATCAACAGCCAGGCTGAGGCTGCAAGGACACAGAGGAACCTGGTCTGGATCCCAGGGCAAAGGAGGATTCACTGGATGTCTTCACACCCACGCTGCCAGTGCCTAACCTCTGCTAACCTCTGACAGAAACGGCAGGAAGGCCTCCTTGCAATGCCCCCCAGCACTGTCTACTGAGAAATGTTATCATTGTGCTCACTTTGAAGGAGAAATGCTTAAAGCAATGCTATTATTTATCACAGAGCATATATTGAGGCTGAGAGGCAATAAATTGATAACTGACACAAACGTCTGTCTAATAGGCATTTTAACTTAACATGTTGAAACTGAACTGTTGGTCTCAACCCAAATCTTCTCCTCTTGCAGTCTTCGCCATCTCAGTAAACGACAACTCCTTTCTTCCAGTTTATCAGCACA
This sequence comes from Homo sapiens, assembly GCF_000001405.40. NCBI lineage: Eukaryota > Metazoa > Chordata > Mammalia > Primates > Hominidae > Homo > Homo sapiens. The sequence continues at coordinate 109,812,472 of NC_000003.12, read as the reverse complement.
AAACCTTTGGAACCATTCTGACTTCTCTCTTTTGCTTTCGTGCCACACTCATTATGTTTACAAACGGTATTGGCTCTATCTTCAAATTAAATCTGGAATCAGTACATTTCTCATCACCTTTACAGCTACCATCCTGGTCGGAACCACCATCATCTCTCACCCTGATAATTACAATAGCCTTCTGACTTGTCTTTACGCTTTCACCTAGTCCATTAGTTGGTTTATTCTCTAACACAGCAGCCAAAATGATCCTATGAAACTAAAGCATAAGTCAGATCACGTCTCTTCTCTGTTTAACACCCTACCCACCTTGTACTCTCAGGGGCAAAATGAATTGAAAGTCTTTTCAGAGCCTAGAAAGCTTACTCAGTATGTCCCCCTCTCCCATCTGTCTCATGTCCCTTCTGCGTAACACTGTACTCATTTAGTGCTAGCCACATTGGCTTCTTTGCTTTTCTGCAAATACAGCAGGCCCATTCCTACCTTAGGGACTTATGTTTCTTTGCTCTGTTTGGAAGACTTAACTGCAGATATCCGCATGGCTTGCTCCTTAACCTCCTTTAGTTTTTTACTCAAACATCACCTTTTCAGCAAGGTATTTTGTGGCCACTCTATCTAAAATGCAATTAGAACCTAGAACAGTTCCAATGATAGGGTAGGTGCCCAATAAATAATGGTTAAATACATAAAAATCTTGCTACAAGGTGATCTTGTGAATGGAAGTCACATGCTGAGAAAGAGGTGGCATGGGCATGGGTTCCTAATAGTAGCACAGAGCCACCACACCAGCCCTGCGGTGTCTCCCTCAAGATTTCTTTTAAGTAAGAGAAAAAATATTTATTTTATTTAATCCACTCTTACTCAGGAGTTTTACTTATATGCAGCTGGTAGCTGACTAAGCCTGATAGCTCTTCCTATAGCTCACTGATTCTCAATCCTTGATTTATGTTAGAATCACCTGGGAAGTTTCAAAAACTAGTAATACTCAGGCCTTACCTCAAGGGCTACTGATGTAATTAATCTTGATAGAGTCAGACATGACTATGTAGAAGCCTCCTAGCAATTCTACTACGAAGCCAGGATTAAGATGAATTGCTATAATCATTGTGTTAAATGTTTTTATATTATTATTTCAAAATAAATATTGTCATCCCTTGGTATCTGTGGGGTATTGGTTCCAGGACTGCCCACAAACACCAAAGCTGGTGCATATTCAAGTCCGGCAGTCAACCCTGTAGAACCTGCAGAAACGAAAAGTCGCCCCTCTGGCCCTCCATATATGCAGGTTTCACATCCTGCTAACACTGTATTTTCAATGCGTGTGTTTGGTTGTGGGTGGCAAATCAGCCAATATAGAAGCCCAATTGTATTTATTTTTTTAAAAAATCTGATTATAGGTAAACCCATGCAGTGCAAACCTATATTCTTCAAAGGTCAACTGTAGTTCTTGATTTTTAGTCCCAGTTTTTATAAAGTGACTAGTATGTAAACATAAGGTGCTACTATTGTTACACCACAGAAGTAGAATAATAATAGCAACAATAAATACAATTTGCATATTATTTATGCTTTACAGTGCCTTCACATAACAACCAATTTTACTGAGAGAGATTTGATTGATTTTTTTATTTTGCAGAAGATGTGACCTCTTACTAAGTGAACATATCCTTGGCTAGGTCTCTCATTTCAAAACGATTCACCACTATGCTCAATTCTTTGGTTTGTCCCAAACCTCAAAATAACTAGGCACAGTTCAGCCCTTCCTCCACAGAAGCCAGAGAGTGGAATGGAGCTTTGACCTGAAATGATTAGAGAAAGGAAATAAGTCCTAGATCAATATCTTGTAGACCCTGACTCACATAATTCCCAATAAAGTCACTCAAAACCTGAAGAGTACAAAAAAAAAAAAAAACAACCAAACAAACTGAACAACGAGGATGGACCCTAAGACTGAAAAATAAGACTTTAAATGCCACTACAGAAGGGAGATTGCACCCTTACTGACTGAGGTTTGGGAATACTTTTTATTGCAGAGCCAAATCTAGGCCCATTAAATTAAAAAAATAATAATAAGGCTGTAGACTCGTAGCATTTCTATACTATGATTTTATCTATAACATAGAAACCAGAGACCCAAATATCTGTACCCCACGATAAAAAAGAAGATAATTTTGGCCGGGCGCAGTGGCTCATGTCTGTAATGCCAGCACTTTGGGAGGCTGAGGCAGGCGGATCACAAGGTCAGGAGCTCGAGACCAGCCTGGCCAGTATGGTGAAACCTCGTCTCTACCAAAAATGCAAAAATTAGCCAGGCATGGTGGCATGTGCCTGTAGTCCCAGCTACTTGGGAGGCTGAGGCAGAAGAATCGCCTGAACCCGGGAGGCAGAGGTTTCAGTGAGCCAAGATTGCACCATCGCACTCCAGCCTGGGTGACAGAGCAAGACTCTGTCACAAAAAAAAAAAAAAAGATAATTTCAAGAGTTTTATCTCACCTCTAATTCCTAGCCAGCCAATTTTAGCATTACTAATGGCTACTGTGATGATTAATATTGAGTGTAAACTTCATTGGATTGAAGGATGCAAAGTGTCGTTGTGGGTATATCTATGAGGGTGTTGCTGAAGGAAATTAACATTTGAGTCAGTGGACTGGGAAAGGAGACCCATCCTCAATCCTGGTGGGCACAATCTATCTAATCAGCTGCCACTGCGGCCAGAATAAAAGCAGGCAGAAGAATGTAAAAATAAATAAATAAATAAATAAATAAATAAATAAATAAATAAAGCCTAGACTGGCTTATCCTCCCAGCCTATGTCTTTATCCTGTGATGGATGCTTCTTGCCCTCGAACATTGGACCTCAAGTTCTTCAGCTTTGGGACTTGGACTGGCTTCCTTGCTCCTCAGCTTCCAGATGGCCTATTGTGGGACCTCACCTTGTCATCCTGTGAGTCAACACTCCTTAATAAACTCCCCTTTATATATACATGTATTCTATTAGTTCTGTCCTTCTAGAGAACCCTGACTAATACAGCTACCCATGTTAAATGATAGGACAGAACCTTCAGGAATCAAGAACAAAATGAGAAAGGTCATAGTGAGCAAAAATCCCTTCTCTGATCCAACTGGAGGATCAATTATGCCATACCTTCCATGCTTAGTAATTACTGTATTACTTTTATTGGGATACAGTGCAGCCTAGTGTTTACAAATGTTACAGAAATCTTATGCCTCAGCTTTCTGATTAATAAAATGTGAACAATATATCTCTTATGTTAGACTATTGCAGGGATTAAATGAGTTATCACCTAAAATGTTTTTTAAAAGTGCCTAATACCTATTTGCTATTATTATTTATATTATTAGTAACAATAATTTGTAACATCATAATAGAGAAAACTTGAACACAATCTCAAACTCAGTTGGGCAAAATATAATTGTTATGGAATAAATTGTGTCCCGCAAAATTTATATGCTAAAGTTCTAAACTACAGTACCTGAGAGTGTGACAGTATATAGAGATAGGGTCTTTAAAAAGGTAATTTAGGAAAAATTAGGTCATAGGGGGAGCCCTAATCCAATATGAGTGGTGTACTTATTAAAACATGGAGATTAGGACACATACACACACACACAAAGACCATGCACACACAGTAAACACACAGGGAGAAGACAAGACAAGAAAGGCCTCAGGAGAAATCATCCTACTGACAACTTGACTTGGACTTCTAGCCACCATATTTTTGAGAAAATAAATATCTGTTGTTTAACCCATAGGGTCCACATACTTTGTTACAACAGCTCTAACAAACTAATATAATAATGCATTTCTTTATTTTCTATAAATGTACTTAATACTTACTTCTTGTCCACTTCTTGCCAAGATAGTCAAATATCTATCTCAGCAATTCTTGAGGACCCTCTACTACCAGGGTAATGAAGTATGTGAAGGTCTTAGTAGCACAATGACATAGGGTGGCTCCTGGGTCATTGGCCATCTGTCCAATGTTTACTACCTAGACACTGGAGTCTGTTCCACAGGGTCCCTCCAAATCCAGCCTTCTTCCTGACCGATGCTTCTGTGCACCACACTGAGGATGGAGCAAACTTTGGCGAGCCTGAAACCCACCAACATTCCTCCTGAAGTCTTGCTTCCTCCACACAGCACTGATAGTTAGCAGGGTCCTGCTGTGGCCTTTGAGGAATCCCTACAGTGGTTCTGTGTCCTTGCACTCCTATCTGGAGATATCACAGATCTCCAGATCTAGGAGTAAGGAAACTGGGTGTAAGGAAACTCTTCACTGTGAGTAAAAGTAATCCCTTTTCTTTTATTTCATGTAGGAGGCATTCTCTCTCTCCTCTCTTTCAAGGGCGTCTAGCACAACTTTATCAAAAAGTATAGACTTAGAAAATGAAAACCTAGGTTGGAAGTAAAACTTCAGTTTTTTCAAACTCAAAACATCCTTGAGACCAAGAAGCACAGAGTCTGGCTACCTACTGAATGAAGGATATATGAATGAATGATAGAGACATATCAATTGATATCATTAAAGATACCCTGAAGTGTTACCAGTAGTTTTTTACACAGATCCTTAAAGCCATAAATGCCGTGAATTTTTTTTTTTGACAGTCTATCTCTGTTGCACAGGCTGGAGTGCAGTGGCGTGATCTTGACTCACTGCAACCTCCACCTCCTGGGTTCAAACGATTCTCCTGCCTCAGCCTCCTGAGTATCTGGGACTACAGGCGCCCGCCACCACACCCAGCTAATTTTTTTTGGTATTTTTAATTGAGACGGGGTTTCGCCATATTGTCCAGGCTGGTCTCGAATTCCTGACCTTGTGATCCGCCCACCTCAGCCTCCCAAAGTGCTGAGATTACAGGCATGAGCCACAGCGCCTGGCCTATTTTTATTTTTTTACGTGTTTTCTTCCTCTCTCTTTCTCTTGTCAGCTTATTAACATGCTTATTCATTTGTAAAAGGTGACAGCATACCCAAGCAGAAAAGGCGAGATGTTTCTACCAGCCTGGCTCCTCTTCTCTGGCCTCTATTCTTTTGGCCTAAGAGATAGACAATACATCAAGCAAGGTCCTTATTTGCAAGCAAAATAAGAAATCAATCATGACTGAATAAATGGGAGGATAAAAAAGAGTTTATTTTAAAAACTAATAGGTAGCTCTCTGAATCACCAGGAGAGCGGAACCATCTTGCTCAGAACAATGAATCTTGAACAATGCCCCAATTGAGGCTGCAAAACTGGGCTGATGAGGAAACTACTTCTGCCCCCACAAAACTAGAACACTGAGTGTCCTAGATAATGTTGTCACTGATCTATCAGGAACACAATTGTGCTGTAACCACTTCCTTTATCAGAGAATGAGTCACTTCCCGTGTTTTTTGGTGTCACTAACTTCCTACTCAAAAACTGGTATGAGTGCATCCAATATAGAGAGCCCGAAGTATTTGCCCAAACCCTTGCTTCAAATCAGGCTGAGAACGTATCTGGTATTTTTAGTTTTTATAGTTTATATAGTTAATGTTTCTAAAGTTTAAAGTTTGCTCTTTCTCCCACCAAGATTAATCTCACGTAGAAAGGGGATGCAAATGCTAGGCAGACAAAAAGACTGAAAAAAAAAAAATCTCCACAACAGAAAGACTGACACAAAGCTGAAAGAGAAAACAAGACAGGAAGTTAGGGTACAGTTAGAAATGCCTTTGGTTTCAATTAATAAAATATCTGATTAGGTATTTTTAAAAAGTAATTTAAAAAATAGAGGGAGTCTTTTTTGTTTAGTCACAGAATGCAAAATCTGAAAGTAAGAACTTGTTGCTTTCATTAGCTCAGGAGCTCAACAATGTTAAGATTAAGTCAAAAGTTCACTTGTCCTTTTCCTCTTAATTCCAAAATGACTATTTTTGCTTCAAATCAGGTAAAAGAGAGAGAGGATAAGAAGTGTCAACAGACTTCTCTATACATTTCATGGGCGAGAATCACTGGCAACCAGTCCATAAAAAATGTATCACTGAAGCCACAAGCTAGAGAAATATTCTCCTATATGTGAAGTAACACGATCCTACAAGGTTCTTTTAAAGGATACCAATTAAAACTACTTTCTAACAAATTTGTTGCTCTTTTACTGCGAAAAGTATATGCATCCCAACCTTGAATGATAAATTTTATCAGTAAAAATCTTTATATTTTCAAAAATTTAACCATTAATTGTGTATGGACTCATACTCAATAGAAAATATAAATGAATACACATTATGTCACAAAATTAAAATCATGGAAATCAAGAGAGAGTCACCTCGTTTATAACTGCCTTCCCTATTGAAAGATATATCTGCAGAATGGATGCACCACCTCACCCGCTGTTTTATTTTTCTCTACAATCAGATATAGTTCATAGGTCTTGGCAAGAGCAATCCCATTTACTTTAACTGTTATTAGAGTGTTCATGTTTTCATGCCTTTTCATCTGTTTTCTTTGCTTCTGGAACTCTTTGAAGGCTTACTTTAGATGGCCTTGCTTGGTAACATCTAAAATACCATTTCTAAGATCCTGGTGTTCTCCCCAGTCATTTGGATAATTGCCACTATTGATGCTAGTTTGACTCTGGCATTCTGGACATTCCCTTATCCCATCTTCATATTGCTCTTTATTTATATGGTAGCAAACGGAAGTCCATATCATATGTCTCCATATGAATGGGACATCAGAATTAAATAGACATAAAAATGAAAAGATTCCTGGGAAAAATCACTCAGGATGCTCTGGGTTGGAGTCTATCCAGGCTGTGCTATTTATTATTCAGTTGACTTTGAGCATGTAACTTAATCTCTTGAGTCTCAATTTTATTGTATGTACCTTGCTTCACATAAATATTCTTGTGAGAAATCTTGTGAAGATTTGGAATATAGAATCTCTTTGAAGTCTATAACATTGTATAAAAAGAAAAGCTAACAAAGACTATATATTATTGTCTGATGTACTCTTTCATCCTCCTGAAAAGCATTCAGCAAATTCTGCTTATCCTTACATCCCACATTTCCTGCTCCACTCTCCGCTTCAGGCTAGATCCTACTACCCACTTCCATCTTGACCACAATATTCTTACTCAACATGGGAGATAGAGCAGGTAAACAAAAGAAGCTGGATTTTGTTAGATTCTGCTCAGGACAAACTATAGAGGTCAATCTGGTTTTAATTACTTTATTCTCTTTGTCAGAATTCCAAGTAGGCACTGGTCTCTACATTAGCTGTAAAGGCCAATTATTTATTTCACAATATTGAAGTCTCTGGCCCAGATGGTTGATTTCTCTAATCTATCCAGTCCTATCTGAGTCTTAGCTCCTGATCTGGGCCTTTGCTGCAGATTCTACATCCACCCTATGGGTTAACTATGTTGAATATCAGGATTCTTGATACTTGGCTTTAGCCTAGCAATTTATTTCATTGTGCCTCCTATTTTCTTGAGAAAGTGAGAGTAAAGTGTTTAAAATGAGTCATTAAGCTACCTGTGGTTCAATTAGACCACTGCTTTCACACCTTTATGACTAATGTTTCATGAAGCTGAAACTAATTGACATGATTTCTATAAAGGCAGGGAAGCCCATAAGCCAGGCCTGACCATACACACCCACTTACTTTTGAAGGATTTCTTCTGGCATTAATCCAAAAGGTGCTCAAAACCTAAAGGAAGATATACAGCATTTACTTACACTGTTCTCGTCCATCTTTACTTTTTCACTCCCTCCTTAAGACTTCTTTTTTAGATGATGTCTTTTTTGCCTGTAGGACCCCTACTGACAATTTTAGTTTGTCTTTGATTTTTAAAATTTGTTGATATATGCATGAAGCAAAGTGCCTGTTTTTCTGTTTTTTATATCTCCACAGCTTTTGTCTCTCAGTGTTTATACTTTGGTAAATTTGGACTCTACTTTTTTTCCAAAATGAATAAAGAACATTTTTCTTATAAAGAACATCACTTTTACATGTACTAAAAGTTTTTTAAAAATGTGTCCCAGCTTTTTCTCTTACCCATGAAGGACTCTGTCCATGAAAGCCTTTGTGGTGTTGGGGACACGGGACCAACTGTCCACCAGCAAACATGAGAGCAACTCAGCACATGCATTCTCTGGGGAAGACTTGCTTCCTAAATGACCATTTCTAAAGCTGGCCACTGGCCAAGGGTCCAGAGCCCTGTAGCAAGATGACAAAAGCACCAAAATCTGAAGCTTTTAAAGGAATTATTCGTTTTTGAAATTAGAAAACAGACAAGCTGTCCCCCCTCCAGTAATCTAAAGAATTGCCATTTGTGGGAAGGAAATAAGGTTGTCTATCCTAACACTGGAAAGAAAAAAAAAGTTTCCGATTGAAACATGAGAAATTCTTGTTGGCAGATTTGTCCTAAAAACCTAAAAACTTTGTTTTTACATATCATTCTTTTTTTTTTCTTTGAGACGGAGTCTTGCTCTGTCGCCCAGGCTGGAGTGCAGTGGCACGATCTGGGCTCACTGCAAGCTCCGCCTCCCGGGTTCACGCCATTCTCCTGCCTCAGCCTCCCTAGTAGCTGGGACTACAGGTGCCCGCCACCACGCCCGGATAATTTTTTTGTATTTTTTTTAGTAGAGACGGGGTTTCACCGTGTTAGCCAGTCTCGATCTCCTGACCTCGTGATCCGCCCCACTCGGCCTCCCAGAGTGCTGGGATTACAGGTTGTGAGCCACTGTGCCCGGCCACATATCATTCTTTAATCAAGGTATTACAGCTACTCCCTATTTCCTGTGACTCTATCCACTGATTACTTCAACAAGAATTTTTAAGGTCCTTTTGCGGGAAAACAGTATGCTATGCAGGGTGGGGCAGCTTGTGTGGGAGGGGAGGTCTGAGTGGGTGCTGCTGCATGGAGGGCAAGCGGAAATGCTGGAGGACGCCAGGGGAAGGAGGAGAGCGCCGCACGAGTGACTGCTCACACTCCCACTTGCTCATATAAATAAAAGTAATCTACTGGCTGCCATAACTGAGAAAGATGCTGGGATGGTGCATAATATAAAAAGGAAGAGCTGCAGTACCAGAGCCTGCAGATAGGAGCTGGAATTAGGAAGACTTCATCTTTCTGCTACCTCAGGTGTCTGCACTCCTTTACTTGGCTTACTTTTCCTCTTACTCATCAGGGAAAGTGGCTATCAGATGGGCTTCAATTTAATCCTCTCCTGTACATCCTAATGGAAATTATTTCTCTTGTGTTCATATAGAATAAGCAAACAAAACAAAAGAAGTCTCTGATCCTACTTATAGTGTTGTCAGATTTAGCAAACAAAAATAAAGGACACCCAGTTAAAACTGATTTTCAGATAAAGAGCAAATAGTACTTAAGTATAAATTGTATCAGTATGAATATATCCCACATGTTATTTGAGAAGATTTCAACAGAGGTGAAAAAATATATCCTAGACCCCTATTCACGTTTATCTGAAATTTAAAATTAAGTGGGAATCCTGTATGTTGTCTGACAACCCAACATACTTGGGTCTAGCTCCCATCCCAGAGCAAACACTGTGTCCAGGGAGTTGGCATCCCTATGCTAGGTCAAGTCTGAGCCCTGTAAATACCCCTGCCCCATCCAATGCAAATATGAAGGTGAAGTCTGATATCAGAAGAGTGGTAATGAAGGAAAGAAACATTGTCATGTACAGCCAAAAATATTAGCTAACCAACTCCATAACAGAGATGGTTAAAAATGCATAAAGAGAAGCCAAGGAAAAATAAAATAAATCAAATTTATTCACCATTTGCCTAAAAAAGAAGATGCTGATTAAAATTATTTTTCACTGTTGATGATCCACATTATCATGCATTTCCATTGATTACAGGACAAAGTCATGGAAAACCCTCTTCTGATGATTTTAGAAAGCAGAATAATTCCTGCGTAATTGACACATTGCTACAAAAGACAAGTGGTAGGGGTGGACTAAATTACCATGTCTTGATATTGAGGCATTGCCAGGTTTGTAGCCAGTCTTATTTTATGGTTTTCCTAGGATTCAAGAAGTTTTGTTGAGCTTCTCTAAGTGGTGATTATAAAATAATAAGCAAAAGATATGTTGGCTCTGGCATCAGGCAGGATGACAGAAATGTAGGCTTGTCTTGAGTTTGGCAACAGCACACTTAATTACATTGACAATGTGTAGCTGTGTCATTTCTTAGGAACTAATTATTCTTTTGGAAAGAAAATGTCCCTACGGACATAGTTTTTGAAATACAACTTTTCAACCAAAGACTTTAGAAAGAGTGTGTCAGATGATGATGATCAAAAGTTGATATGATGGCTTGAAACTTAAAACAAGCATAACCATTTTAAACACCTATATTCCTTTACAGAGATAATGAAGGTAGAAATGGCTATTGAATGGCTGCAAAGTATTCCCCTTATAAAATTTCGAAGGTGAAGTACGATTTCTCAGAGGAGAATCAGGCTTTAAAATTAAAATGTTCTATATAGAATGAGAAAGGTAATTAAGTTTTTCCTAACTAGCATCAATTTAAGAGGAACCAGTGCTGTCGGTAAATAGTGCTTTATCAAAGATCATTTAACTCTAATGAACTAATTTGATCTGACAATGAAACTAGCAAAGACAATGTCAAATGCTAATGTATACGTATGTGCATGTGTGAGAGAAAGAGGGACACATACACAGACACACACACACACAAACACACACATACATATACACAGACAGAGAAGGACAGAGATACATAGCGAGAGAGAATTTACATTGTGAAGGAAGAGCCACACACTATTTTCACTTTGAAAGACTGAATCATGAAGACTGTTCTGGACATCATGCAGAGAAAGAGACATGGGCTATGGCAACTGCACTATTCTCAACCAGCTTGTGACTCTCCCTCTTTCCCTTGCTGGTTTATCTTTCTTGTCCTTTTACCCACTAAATTTGGGCATTTCTCAAAGTTCTTTCTCTATACTCCCTCACTTAGTGCCTGTAATAGAACCACCCCTCTTTGGGCATGCAGCCCCTGTGTGGGTTTGAACTCCAATGCACAACTCTGGAGTCCCATTCACATTGTAGTCTATGTGCCAGGCAAACCTGTCAACTTTTATGTGGCAGTCAGCTATGGATGATCTAAATCTATCTCTACCCCTCTTTTGTCTTCTGATCTCTGGGCATAAAGTTCTACATGCTTATACAACTGTTCCTTTTAACTGGAAAATAAATGCCAATTTTATTCATTCTCTAAAAGTAGAAGTTTTTTGTTTTTTTATTTTAGTAACCCCCTTTATTTTCTCTCCAAGCACACACATATTTCCTGCCTTTGAGTAATGTATGCTCTGAAAGAGGAAAAAGGCATTGAGATACAAAAGCATATTATAAGACAGAAAACTCTATGTGCCATTTCCTATCATTTACCTTGATGTGAGCAACCAACTCCAGAAGGGGCACTAGTTGCCATTGCTTCATCTCTCTCTCTCATTTTTCTTCTACTTCTTTCTTTGCAATCTTGTGCATATCATTGTGGCCTCCTCACCTATTCACACCTCTTCTCTATTTTTTAAAATTATACTTTAAGTTCTGGGACACACATGCAGAACATGCAGGTTTATTACATAGGTATACATGTGCCATAGGTATACATGTGCCATGGATTTGCTGCACCCATCAACCCGTCATCCACATTAGGTATTTCTCCTAATGCTATCCGTCCCTTTGCTCCTCACCCCCTGACAGGCCCCAGTGTGTGATGTTCCTCTCCTTGTGCCCATATGTTCTCATTGTTCCATTCCCACTTATGAGTGAGAACACGCGGTGTTTGGTTTTCTGTTCCTGTATTAGTTTACTGAGAATAATGGTTTCCAGCTTCATCCATGTCCCTGCAAAGGACATGAACTCATCATTTTTTATGGCTGCATAGTATTCCATGGTGTATATGTGCCACATTTTCTTAATCCAGTCTATCATTGATGGGCATTTGGCTTGGTTCCAAGTCTTTGCTATTGTGAATAGTGCTACAATAAACATATGTGTGCATGTGTCTTTATAGTAGAATGATTTATAATCTTTTGGGTATATGCCCAGGAATGGGATTGCTGGGTCAAATGGTATTGCTGGTTCTAGATCCTTGAGGAATTGCCACACTGTCTTCAACGATGGTTGAACTAATTTACACTCCCACCAACAGTGTACAAGTGTTCCTATTTCTCCACATCCTCTCCAGCATCTGTTGTTTCCTGACTTTTTAATGATCGCCATTCTAACTGGCATGAGATGGTATCTCATTGTGGTTTTGATTTGTATTTCTCTAAGGACCAGTGATGATGAGCTTTTTTTCATATGTTTGTTGGCCACCTAAATGTCTTCTTTTGAAAAGTGTCTGTTCATATCCTTCACTCACTTTTTGGTAGGGTTGTTTTTTTCTTGTAAATTTGTTTAAGTTCCTTGTAGATTCTGGATATTAGCCCTTTGTCAGATGGATAGATTGCAAAAATTTTCTCCCATTCTGTAGGTTTCCTGTTCACTCTGATGATAGTATCTTTTGCTGTGCAGAAGATCTTTAGTTTAATTAGAACCCATTTGTCAATTTTGGCTTCTGCTGCCATTGCTTTTGGTGTTTTAGTCATGAAGTCTTCTCCCATGCATATGTACTGAATGGTATTGCCTAGGTTTTCTTCTAGGGTTTTTTGGTTTTAGGTCTCAATCCATATTGAGTTAATTTTGTATAAATTATATTATCATATTGAGTTAATTTTTTATAAGGTGTAAGGAAGGGTTCAGTTTCAGTTTTCTACATACGGCTGGCAAGTTTTCCCAGCACCATTTATTTAACAGGGAATCCTTTCCCCATTGCTTGTTTTTGTCAGGCTTGTCAAAGATCAGATGGCTGTAGATGTGTGGCATTATTTCTGAGGTCTCTGTTCTGTTCCAGTGGTCTATATATTTGTTTTGGTACCAGTATCATGCTGTTTTTGTTACTGTAGCCTTGTAGTATAGTTTGAAGTCAGGTAGCGTGATGCCTCCAGCTTTGTTCTTTTTGCTTGGGATTGTCTTGGCTGTATGGGCTCTTTTTTGGTTCCATATGAAATTTAAAGTAGTTTTTTCTAATTCTCTGAAGAAAGTCAATGGTAGCTTGATGGGAATAGCACTGAATCTATAAATTACTCTGGGCAATATGGCCATTTTCACGATATTGATTCTTCCTATCCATAAGCATGGAATGTTTTTCCATTTGTTTTTGTTCTCTCTTATTTCCTTGAGCAGTGGTTTGTAATTCTCCTTGAAGCAGTCCTTCACATCCCTTGTAAGTTGTAAATGTAGGTATTTTATTCTCTTTGTAGCAATTGTGAATGGGAGTTTGCTCATGATTTGGCTCTCTGGTTGTCTATTATTGGCGTATAGGAATGCTTGTGATTTTGCGCATTGATTTTGTATCCCGACACTTTGCTGAAGTTGCTTATCAGCTTTATACAATCATATCATCTGCAAACAGATATAATTTGACTTCCTCTCTTCCTATTTGAATACCATTTATTTCTTTCTCTTGCCTGATTGCCCTGGCCAGAAATCCAATACTATGTTGAATAGGAGTCGTGAGAAGGAGCATCCTTGTTTTGTGCCAGTTTTCAAAGGAAATGCTTCCAGCTTTTGCCCATTCAGTATGATGTTGGCTGTGAGTTTGTCATAAATGGCTCTTATTATTATGAGATATGTTCCATCAATACCTAGTTTATTGAGTGTTTTTAGCATGAAGGGGTGTTGAATTTTATCGAAGGCCTTTCTGCAGCTATTGAGATAATCATGTGGGTTTTGTCATTGGTTCTGTTTATGTGATGGATTATGTTTATTGATTTACATAAGTAGAACTAGCCTTGCATCCCAGAAATGAAGCCAACTTGATCATGGTGGATAAGCTTTTTAATGTGCTTCTGGGTTTGGTTTGCCAGTATTTTATTGAGGATTTTTGCATTGGTCTTCATCCGGAATATTGGCCTGAAATTTTCTTTTTTTTGTTGTGTCGCTGCCAGGTTTTGGTAGGATGATGCTGGCCTCATAAAATGAGTTAGGGAGGAGTCCCTCTTTTTCTATTTTTTGGAATAGTTTCAGAAGGAATGATAGCAGCTCCTCTTTGTACCTCTGGTGGAATTTGGCTGTGAATCTGTCTGATCCTGGGCTGCTTTTGGTTGGTAGGCTATTCATTACTGCCTCAATTTCAGAACTTGTTATTGGTCTATTCAGGGATTCGACTTCTTCCTGGTTTAGTCTTGGGAGGGTTTCTGTGTCCAGGAATTTATCCATTTCTTCTAGATTTTCTAGTTTATTTGTGTAGAAGTGTTTATTTTATCCTCTGATGGTAGTTTGTATTTCTGTGGGATCATTGGTGATCCACCGTTTATCATTTTCTATTGTGTCTATTTGATTCTTCTCTCTTTTCTTCTTTATTAGTCTTGCTAGCGGTCTATCTATTTTGTTGATCTTTTCAAAAAGCCAGCTCCTGGATTCATTGATTTTTTGAGGGACTTTTCGTGTCTCTATTTCCTTCAGTTCTGCTCTGATCTTAGTTATTTCTTGTCTTCTGCTAGCTTTTGAATGTTTGCTCTTGCTTCTCTAGTTCTTTTAATTGTGATGTTAGGGTGTCAATTTTAGATCTTTCCCACTTTCTCCTGTGGGCATTTAGTACTATAAATTTCCCTCTAAACACTGCATCAGCTGTGTTCCAGAGATTCTGGAATGTTGTGTCTTTGTTCTCATTGGTTTCAAAAGCTTATTTATTTCTGCCTTAATTTCGTTATTTACCCAGTAGTCATTCAGGAGCATGTTGTTCAGTTTCCAAGTAGTTGTGCACTTCTGAGTGAGTCTCTTAATCCTGAGTTCCAATTTGATTGCACTGTGGTCTGAGAGACTGTTTGTTATGATTTCCATTCTTTTGTATTTGCTGAGGAGTGTTTTACTTCCAACTATGTGTTTGATTTTAGAATAAGTGCTATGTGGTGCTGAGAAGAACGTATATTTTGTTGATATGGGGTGGAGAGTTCTGTTGATGTCTATTAGTTCCACTTGGTCCAGAGCTGACTTCAAGTCCTGAATATCCTTGTTAATTTTCTGTCTCTTTGATCTGTCTAATATTGACAGTGGGGTATTAAAGTCTCCCACTATTATTGTGTGGGAGTCAAACTCTCTTTGTAGGTCTCTAAGAACTAGCTTTATGAATCTAGGTGCTCCTGTATTGGGGTGCATATATATTTAGTATAGTTAGCTCTTCTTGTTGCATTGATCCCTTTACCATTATGTAATGGCCTTCTTTGTCTCTTTTGATCTTTGTTGGTTTAAAGTCTGTTTTATCATAGACTAAGATTGCAACCCCTACTTTATTTTGCTTTCCATTTGCTTGGTAAATATTCCTCCATCCCTTTATTTTGAGCCTATGTGTGTCTTTGCACGTGAGATGGGTCTCCTGAGTACAGCACACTGATGGGTCTTGACTCTTTACACAATTTGCCAGTCTATGTCTTTTAATTGGAGCATTTAGCCTGTTTACACTTAAGGTTAATATTGTTATGTGTGAATTTGATCCTGTCAGTATGATGCTAGCTAGTTATTTTGTCCATTAGTTGATGCAGTTTCTTCATAGTGTCAATGGTCTTTAGAATTTGGTGTACTTTTGCAGTGGCTGGTATCGGTTTTTCCTTTCCATGTTTAGTGCTTCCTTCAGGAGCTCTTGTAAGGCAGGCCTGGTGGTAACAAAAATCCTGCAGCATTTGCTTGTTGGTAAAGGGTTTTATTTAATCTTTGCTTATGAAATTTAGTTTTGCTAGATATGAAATTCTGGGTTGAAAATTCTTTTCTTTAAGAATGTTGATATTGGTCTCCACTCTCTTCTTGCTTGTAGGGTTTCTGCAGATAGATCTGCTGTTAGTCTGATGGGCTTCCCTTTGTGGGCAACCCAACCTTTCTCTCTGGCTGCCCTTAACATTTTTTCCTTCATTTCAACCTTGGTGAATCTGACGATTATGTGTCTTGGGGTTGGTCTTCTCGAGGAGTATCTTTGTGGTGTTCTCTGTATTTCTTGAATTTGAATATTGGCCTATCTTGCTATGTTGGGGAAGTTCTCCTGGATAATATCCTGAAGTATGTTTTTCAACTTGGTTCCATTCTCCCTGTCACTTTCAGGTACACCAATCAGACATAAGGTTGGTCTTTTCACATAGTGCCATATTTCTTGAAGGCTTTCTTCATTCCTTTTCATTCTTTTTTCTCTAATATTGTCTTCATGCTTTATTTCATTGAGTTCATCTTCAATCTCTGATATCTTTTCTTCCACTTAATCAATTTGGGTATTTATACTTGTGTATCCTTCATGAAGTTCTCATGCTGTGTTTTTCAGCTCCATCAGGTCATATTTGTTCTTCTCTAAACTGGCTATTTTAGTAAACAATTCCTCTAACCTTTGATCAAGATTCTTAGCTTCCTTGCATTGGGTTAAAACATGCTCCTTTGGCTCAGAGGAGTTTGTTGTTACCCACCTTCTGAAGCTTACTTCTTTCAATTTGTCAAACTCATGGCTGTCCAGTTTTGTTCCCTTGCTGGCAAGGAGTTGTGATCCTTTGGAGGAGAAAAGGCATTCTGGTTTTTGGAATTTTCTGCCTTTTTGTGCTGGTGTTTCCTCATCCTTATGGATTTATCTACCTTTGGTCTTTGCTGTTGGTGACCTTTGGATGGAGTTTTTGCATGGTCATCCTTTTTGTTGATGTTGATGCTATTCCTTTCTGTTTGTTAGTTTTCCTTCTAATAGTCAGGCCCCTCTGCAGAAGTTCTGCTGGAGTTTGCTGGAGGTCCACTCCAGACTGTTTGCCTGGGTATCACCAGCGGAGGCTACAAAACAGCAAAGATTGCTGCCTGCTCCTTCCTCTGGAAGCTTCGTCCCAGAGGGGCACCCGCCAGATGCCAGCCAGAGCTCTCTTCTATGAGGTGTCTGTCCACCCCTGCTGGGAGGTGTTTCCCCATCAGGAGACACGGGGGTCAGGGATCCACTTGAGGAGGCAGACTGGACCTTAGCAGAGCTCAAGCGCTGTACTGGGAGATCCGCTGCTCTCTTCAGATCCAGCAGGCAGGAACATTTAAGTCTGCTGAAGCTGCGCCGACAGCTGCCCCTTCCCCCAGGTGCTCTGTCTCAGGCAGATGGGAGTTTTATCTATAAGTCCCTTACTGGGGCTGCTGCCTTTCTTTCAGAGATGCCCTGCCCACTGAGGAAGAGTAGAAGTGTAATACCTCTCTAATTAGTGCTGAGAAAAACAAAATCTCTAATCACCTTTCTCACACAAATTGTAAAATAATCCTCTTATTGCCATGTCATTCATTGCTGAAAACTTTCAATTACTTTCCATAATGCAACAAATTAAGAGAACAAAATGATTAGAAGTAATTTCTATCATATTTCTATACAAGTCTTATCTCACTCCATTATCCCTAGAATGACTGGAGTTTACATCATTTCTTAAATGCATTCCTTACATTGTATAGTTGGTTGTTCATTATACTCCCTCTACCTGGATTTACATCTACCTCACCAGCCAAAATGCTACTCTTCATTCAAAAGTGACACTAATGCCACTTCTCTTATGAAACCTTTTTAGTTACTCCCCAGACAATGGTAATCTCTCCATCTTATAAATTGCACCAAGTCCCTTGCGAAGACTGCAGCCTCTGAAACTGAACAGAATAGGGTGTGAATCCACTTACACCACTTACTTAGCTCAGTATTCTAGAGAAAGTTACATAACTCCTTTACCTCATTTTTCTCATGTGCAAAATGATTTTCTCATCTATAAGTATAAAAAATAATGTTTGTCTTTCAGGATAATTATAAGAATAATATAAATCACATAGCAGAGAGCCTGGCACATGATATATGCTAACT
The DNA here is from genome assembly GCF_000001405.40 of Homo sapiens. Taxonomy (NCBI): domain Eukaryota; kingdom Metazoa; phylum Chordata; class Mammalia; order Primates; family Hominidae; genus Homo; species Homo sapiens. Next base: position 109,794,545 of record NC_000003.12, on the reverse strand, counting down.
TAATAGTATCTATTGCTATTACTATTAATTGTACAATCTTCTATACCTTTGCCAGATGGGTACTAAGAGTCTTAAGCCAAAAATCAGGAAGCCAAAGCAGGTTACTTAGAGAACAAGAGCAAATTCATAAGTGGTAATGGAAATCCAAAACAGGTCAATGTTTTAGAATGTTCACAATCAGCCCAGAGCTCAGACCAAATTCTAACCAATCTTTAAAAGTTGTTTTGATTGAATTGTATGAGTTCTTGCTGGATATGTGAAAGTTTCTGCCAGTAGAGTGCCTTAATAATGTCAAGTTAAAATTTCTGACAGCATTGTAACCAACTATTTTGTCATTCATTATCTAATTGATTGACAAATCTTTGCTTGTACAACAATCTAAAAATTTCCTATGTTTATAACTCAGCTCTTCACTTTGATTATCAGCTTATTGGGGATGACCATATCATGTCCAATCATTCTTTTTATCCTACTTAAATCTGTATATAGTAAATAATAGGCATCAATAAAGCAATTGTTGGTTTGGACCTAATTGTATGCAAGCAAACATTATTGACATTTGTGTAATGTTGGCATTTCTCATAGAGAAATAGTGAACATCACCATCTAAGCAAAATATTAGAATCACTACTGGGCTATTGCCTTTAAATAGTGTATCATTTGGGGCATGTTTCCTACTCCTTGTACCCATTTCCTCCTCTGTAATCTAACATAAGACAGAAGAGTTCATGTGCAAAGCTGAAAAACCGTCTCTACATATGTAAATACTAATACTTAAATGAGAAAAAATACAATGAAATCTTTACCTTGGACTAAAGTTGTTTTGAATTTTAGGTTATTGTTTTCTTAAATTCATGCAAAGAAGCTTCCAAACAAAACTTTTACCCAGAAAATATTTATTCAGCACCTATTATGTTCATAAATTTCCTATATGCAATTCAAGATGAAAAAAGAATAACACTTCAAAATTTGGTTGTAAGAATGAATATGTAAAATGTTGAATTAATTAAATGCTAAAGTGAATTATAAAGCTAGTAGAGAGGAATAAAGGAGCAAGAGAAATTCATCCACCTTGGGGTATGCTGTAAGGGGAGATAGCACTCTAATGCTTAAAAAATATTTAGTTATTGAACATTCACAAGAAGAAATGAAGAACATTTCATGCAGAAGGAACAATATGAGAAAAGATATATCTGTATGAGTGCATGGTTTGTGGGTGTTTGTGCATTTGAGTGACATGAGATCATGTATATTCTAGTCAAATTAAGCTTTCTTTTTATCTTGCTATGGAGCTATATGCTGCTACAGTTGTCATCTTAAAAGTGGGTGTACCAGCAGCTTTTCCCCCTCTCTCATCCATTTTTTGCTTTTAACATCGATAAGTGTAATTCTTTAATCACATTAATTGTCATCTTATTATATCTTAGATATGCTTAGTCTCCCTTTAGCTATTTCCTCAAGTCTTCTATTTAACTGTTTTCTAATTCCATCACTAACCACTGCAGCTAAATAAGCACATCCAAATATCCTTTAAGATTTCACTAAGATTTGGCTTGCTCACTCACCACCCTATGATTATGAAAACGCTGTCCTCTCCAGGGCTTCTCAGAGGGCTTGGGTAAGGTGTGTGTTCAGAGGTAGGGGTGTTCAGAGCAGATCAGGATGGTAATACTTTCCTAGTCATCAATGTTACTATTATCCAGCTCTTACAGAACTCTCTATTTCAGTATCCCTTTTTCAGCTCCCTTCTCTCCGGAACTTACTTACTTACAAAAAAAGAATATAGCTATTTTTTTGATACTTCTGTGACACCATCTCACCCTCCCTTTCCCCTACTCCACTCCCCAAATACATCTCACAAAGGACTTCTGTGAATGTAATAGTCTATTGACATTTGCATCAATGGAAGGGATTTATATCACAGAATGCATGTATTAATTTGCTAGGGCTGCCATAACAAAATACTACCGACTAGATGGCTTAACAGAAATGTAATTTCTTATAATTCTGAAAGCTAGAAGTCCGTGATCAAGGTGTTGGCAGATTTGGTTTCTCTTAAGGGCTCTCTCCTTGACTTACAGACGGCCGCCTTCTCACTATGTCCTCACATGACCTTTTCTCTGTGTGCATGCATCCTTGGTGTATCCAAGTTTCTTCTTATACAAACATCTGTCAGATTGGATTAAGGCCCACCCTAATTGCTTCATCTTAACTTAATTACCTTTTTTAAAGTTAGTGATTTTAAATTCTATCTCCAAATATAGTCACATTCTGAGGTACTTGGGCTTAGGATGTCAACCTATGCTTTTGAGGAAGACAATTCAGTGCATAACAGCAAGTAATTTCAAATTCTGTATCAGGCATCCTTGTTTCTATAAAAGTTTGTTAGTATCCTAACAGTAAGAATTTCTCATGGGTGGTCTAATTTCTCCAGAAATTTTGACTTCTGTATAGGGAAACTCCAGTGCCAATTGGTAACATTTTTAGCAGTCAGCTACATGAAAGTAGGTTAAAACTGAAGTTTATTCTTTTCAGAACATACTGACTCCAGAGTTTCTCTACTAATTCTTTACTGATTTAAGTGAGATGCTCCACTACATCTGTTAAGCACTAAGAACTTTTCAATTTGTAATTGGGTTTGCACATAGCACAAGTTGACACTGAGGTGAAGCCACATTCAGCCCTGGGATTCAGACTGCCTGAGCATGCATATTTGTTCATCTGGTATCAGAAAGAGGTCAGTGAGAAAATTTAAAAAAAACAAAAAACCACTCGTGTTTTAAACACAAGGAGCTTAATATAAGGAAGTAGTTAGAGGTAATAAAGGGATGAAAAGCCAAGCAGGGCATAGAAAAATAACCAAATGATCAGAAACAGCAGAAAGCCAACTCTAGGTCCTGGAGGAATACAGCAGGGAGGTAGTATCACCAAAAATTAGAAGTTAGGAACACCCAAGGGGAGCTAGAACCACAGCAGGAGTTCCCTGGTGGGGGATGGGTATTAAAAAGGAGAGCTGCTCTGGCAGGACTTGCTACCCTGAAAGAGACATAGCCCATACCAGAAACTGCTAACTCAAGAAATGTCCTGGCTTCTCTACTTCAGCAACCTTCTGATATTCTACCAGTGTCTTATATTGGCTGAACATATCTGGAAGGCTGAAAACAATATAAGCAATATCTTAGTGCAAACAGGCAATGACCAGAAATGTTTTCATGGGGAATTGGGATAGCATCAAGAGTCTGTCTTTCAGATTATACACTCAGGTATAATGAATGGATTCATGACTGAATTCTATAAAAGAATGGATGGGGGAATTTAAAAACACCATGAAAGGAGCTCTTTATACCAAAATTTCAATACACTGTTAGAGAATGTAGCTCAGGCAGAATAATGGCCCACCAAAGATGTTCATGTACTAATCCTTGACTTTTGTTAAGTATGTCAAAAAGGACTTTGCAGATGTAATTAAAGACCTTAAAATGGGGTGACTATCCTGGGTCATTCAGGTGTGCCCAGTCTAATCAAATGGGTTCTTAAAAGCGGGCAACCTTTTCTAGCTTAGTCAGGAAGAATGGTCAGAGATGAAATATTGCTGGCTTTGAAGGTGGAGGAAGGTGGAAACATGCCAAGGAATATGGGTAGCTTCTCGAAGCTGGAATATGCAAGGAAACAGATTCTCCATTAAATCCTTGAGGAAAGAATGTGCCCCTAACACCCTGAGTTGAGTCTAGTGTAGGATTTTTTATTTACCAAACTGCAAGATAATGAGTATTTATTGTTACAAGGTACTAAGTTTGTTATGGCAGCAATAAAAAATTAATATATAAAACCAACAGGTCTGCTGGGTATCAGTAACAAAATTTAACTCAAAGAAGTGACAAAAATAAAAGAAGCATTATCTAACCTCTACATGGAAGGCAAGGTAGTTTTGGTGCATTGTGGTCTCCAGAGAAGTCAGCATCAGCATAATGAGAACCATGGAATGTGCTAGTAGTGGCTGATGAAAGGTAGAGTAGCCTAGGAAAAAGCAACCTGAGGGTGAGCACTGAAGATCAGTTGAGGCGGCTTTGAAAGCTGAAAATATTTCAGCAGGAAGCACCATTGGGATTGCCAGAAGTATTAAAGGACTTAGCAAGTACCACGCAATGATGCACGGAGGTCCTTTGTGAACACACATGCAATGCACAGTAAAAAATTTTGAAGGTACTCTGTTTTTCTTTTTTGTTTTGTTTTGTTTTGTTTTGTTTTGTTTTTGACGGAGTCTCACTCTGTCATCAGGCTGGAGTGCAGTGGTGCGATCTCAGCTTACTGCAGCCTCCAGCTCCCAGGTTCAAGTGATTCTCCTGCCTCAGCCTCCTGAGTAGCTGAGATTACAAGTGTGCACCACCATGCCCAGCTAATTTTTTGTATTTTTAGTAGAGACAGGGTTTCACCATGTTGGCCAGGATGGTGTTACAAGTATTATTTAACTTTTTATTCTCAAAGTCCTAGCCAATTCAATTAGAAAACAAAATGAGGTAATATATATATATACATACATATATATATATACACACATATATGTGTGTATATATATATATAGAGAGAGAGAGAGAGAGAGAGAGAAACAAAAAAAGAGAAAGTGATCTTTAAATATTGATGGAATTACATATGTAGAAAAATAAAAGAAACAACAAAAATATTACAAATATAGAAAATTTGCTAAAGCAACTACTTACAAAATTATGTATAAAGTCAATAGTACCATATATGCAAATAATCTATTACAAAATTATACAAATATTTTTCTAAAAGCATACGCAGGTGGGAATATATTTAATAAGTGTGCCGGTTCTTTAAGAAAACTCTAAAAATAAGGAAGAAAAATGTTTTAACTTTTATTTTAAGTTCAAGAGTACAAGTGTAGGTTTGTTACATAAGTAAATTTATGTCATTGGGGTGTGTTGTACCGATTATTTTATCAACCAGATATTAAACTTAGTACCCATTAGTTACTTTTCCTGAGGGGAAGAAAAATTAAAGTAAGATATATCATGTTTCTGGATAGAAATGTTCAGTATTGTGAGATATAAGTTCTCCATAGTTTCCTCTATAAATTTTATACAATCTCAATTAAAATAGCATCGAAATGCTTTCAATTGGAAAACCTTGATAATATACACCATGAATAAGACTAACAACTCAGCACTCTCATATACCGTTAAAGCACCTTTCTAGAGAGGAGTTCGGCAGTAACTATCAAATCTTAAATCTCACAACAAATGATCTAGTAATGCGACTGCTAAAAATTAACCCTCTGCATTTTCTCATGACAGTCAGAATACCAATCTAAAAATATCATCACAGCCTTGTTTGCAATAGAAAAAAAAAATACCATCAATAGGGCACTGGATAAATCTACTTTTTGTATAAATAAAATCTTAGTGATTACTTTAGGATTAAAGTAATACACACACACACATACATGTATTGAGACAAACGTGAAGAAGACTTCTTTTTTTGCATTGTGTAATTCAGTTAGGTGAGTTTTATTACCTGGTAAATGTAAAAGTATATTAACCAGGGTTACCTTTATGGTGGACTAATAGTCATTTTAAAATTTCCTCTTTCTTCATTCATGTCTATTTTATTGCTTGTGGTTAGAGAATTTGTTTTGTATAATTTATCTCATTTAGAATTAGCAGATATTCTTTACAGCATAATAACATGCTTGATGTTTATGAATGTTTCATGGACATTTAAAAATTGTATATCTTCTGTTTGTTGGTACAAAATTATATATACAAACCTATTATATTGAATATAGTAATAGTGTTATTCAAACAACTTCTATTATCTTACTTATTATTTCCTTCATCTGTAAATTTTCAAGAGCTGTGAATTAAAGTCCCCCATTAAAATTATTGATTTGTTTATTTTTGTGTTTAAGTTTTGCTTTATATTCCTTGACCTTATGATGATAAGAAAATAAAGATTAATAAAAATTAAAACTGTATCATTAACTTTTTCTTACTGTAAAATATTTTTCTCCTGTAATGTATTAGAGCCAGTCTATTTTTCAAATATTAATAACATAATGGTTTTTTAAGTATGTACTAAGTACACTTTTGTTCCAAACTTATATATTATTAAAATTTTGCCACTTAAATGTCTTTGAAAATATAATGTTTAACGAGTCTTTTTTCATTTTATTTCCAACTTCCTTTACTTTTTCTGGTGGTACTTAATTTCTACTGCTTTGGTTTTAGTGTTTCATTTTGGTTTCTGTAACAGATCTTTTTGCTGACTTCCATTCCTTTTTCATGTTGCAGAGCTATGTCGCCAAATCATCTTTTTATTCCATAAAGTTTGTGTGAGTGATGAACATTTTGAAGTCTTGTCTCTGCAAAAATGAATATTTTACCCAAAAACTGATCATAGTTTGACTGGGTGGAAAATTCTGTGTTAAGAAATCATTTATCCTTTTGAAGTTATTTTTCAGTGTCTTCTAGTAGCCAGAATTGTAAGTGGGACTCATGATACCACCCATATTCTTGATCTTTTGTAGGTGTATACTTAGTCTGCTACTGTTCCAAGTTAGAGGAAAAAGACTAAAACAAGCAAAAAAAAAAAAAAAACTGTTTTTCACTATGAAGACTCGTGATAGGACAGTACAAATATAGGTTAATTCAGTGTTACAACAACTCAGATTTTCTCCTGTGTCCAGTATTGATAGTCTAGAAGTAAGATTATTAAGATCCTACCTGTCACCTTGATAAAAATGAAGTCAACTTTTCCTAAAACAAAAAGGACCAGAGAGTTTTACTAAATGATGCTGCTAAACAGGTAAGGATATGCCAGTGCAGAAGGTGAGACCGTAGCCTGGCTTAGTCTCCAACTGACTCTGATTCTCGACCAGCACTGCTCAAGGAGCAAGTCCATTCAGAAGAGCTCCGTGGCTCAATTCTGAATACAACCTCAGTAATGCCTAGAGTAGAATTTTGGTAAATATTTATTTACTTATTTATTATTTTTGAAACAGGATCTCGCTCTATTGCCCAGACTGGAGAGCAGTGGTGCAATCTCAGCTCATTGCAACCCCTGCCTCCTGTGCTGAAGTGATTCTCCCACCTCAGCTTCCCATGTAGCTGGGAATACAGACATCCCCTACCATGCCCAGCTAATTTTTCTAATTTTAGTAGAGATGGGTTTTCACCACGTTGCACAGGCTGGTCTCAAACTCCTGAGCTCAAGTGATCCACCCATCTCAGTCTCCCAAAGTGCTAGGTTTACAGGTGCAAGCAACAGTGCTGGCCTCTATTTATTTATTTTAAATTTTTTTTGAGACAGTATCTTACTCTTGCTCAGGCTGGAGTGCAGTAGCAATCAAAATTCATGGCAACCTCAAACTCCTGTGCTCAAGAGATGCTCCTACCTCAGCCTCCACAAGCATGTGTTGCCACACCTGGCTAATTTCTTTATTTTTTTTAATAGGGATGGGGTCTCACCATGTTGTCCAGGCTGATCTCAAATTCCTGGGATCAAGCAATCCTCCCACCTCGGCCTCCCAAAGTGCTGGGATTACAGGCATGAGCAACTGTGTCTGGCCACAAATAACCCTTTAAATGCATCCACAGAGGCAATGGTTATCAACTCGGATGGTCTAAAAAGTGAGAGACTCTAACACTGACTAGTGATTATCCTTAAATAAAATATTAATACTTAACCTCATCTGTCCTCAGTTTCTTTTGCTTTCCATAGCTATGTTATTCTATGAGCTCTGTTAGGTCCCTCACAGATAAATATTTCTACAAGTTACAGCAAAAGAATGAGAAGAGATTTGCTATAATGCTTGGCAGGGAAACAAAATCATCAGATTTTAGAGCAATGTGTTTTATGCAAACAGTTAGGACTTAGTATCCCTATAAGTCAAAAGTGCCTACATTTGATATAGTTTATGATGAAAGACAGGCTTGATATGTGGCAAATGTCTTGTAATTAGAAATAAGACCTGAGGAATTTTCCAGTATTTGTAACCTCTCAAAGAATTACAAGCTGTCTAAATAAAAAGTTTTATTTCCTAGATCATGATGAGGATAATATTAGATACAACACGCATTGTATCAAAGGCTGATCTCCCCTAACATCAATGAGAGATTGTGCGGCAATGGAAAGAACACAGTCTTGGAGCCATGTAAACTGGGTGTGAGGTCAGACTTCGTGACTTTTCACTGCATGGCCTTGGGCAAATAAATTACTCTCTCGTTTGTTTAATGGTAAAATGGGGTGCTGCTATGTGTGTTACCTGCTTTGTATGTTTATTGTGTGGAAAAAGAAAAGAATGGGATTTGGAAAGCAAAAGGCTACATGTACTAACAGAGTTAACTTTCTACAGAAACTTTTTATGGAGCAAATTAAGTGAGCAGAGTACACTTTACTCTTTTTAGAGGTCATAATTCTATTCTGGGGCATGGAGCTAACTTACTAAACATCTTTCCCGTATCACATGGTAGTGGTGAAGATTACAGGCCCTGTCATTCATCTTTGCGTATATTAAAATCCATACATTAAACCACCATTTTATGGAGCCCTAAGGAGTTAAAAGAAAATTGAAAATAGGCTTAGCTGACAGGAACAGAAACAGGGGTGGAGGAGAGAAAATGTTCTGAGAAATGGGGTCACCCGCAAATGGCTCACTAGCACCCAAGCATCCTGTTGCAAGCATTCAGTTCATGGCCCACCTGCACCCAAGCATCTTGTTTGCAGGCATTCAGCCCAAGCAGCATGACCTTTTAAAACTTCCCTCCAGCCCCTGCCTCTTTGCAGACAGCCTTCCTTCTGCTATATTGCCCATTGCTCTCTTGCAATGTATCTCTCACTTTTCTCTAATAAATCTGCCTTTCTTTCCCCACATCTATCTTGGTAAAATTCCTTTACCACCCAGATAAATTTACTTTACACTGGTTCCAGGCAGTCATTGACGACAACACTCTATGTATTATGAATCTCTCATCTCTTGTGTACTCTCTGCTGGAAAGAGACTGATTTTGTTTTTGAAATAAGATGTTAGCTTTCACGTTGTGGAGCTGCTAAGTGTATCTGAGCTGGTGCATCATCCCCTACTAGTCATTAGCAGATGGCTCTTGTCTGAGTCAAGTGGATTATTGGATAAGAGCAAGATTTGGAACACGAACCTTCTCCAGGAACGCATGTATTTTGTAAAATAGAATAGATATTTTTGTAAAAAAATCATTTTGTTTTTCAATATTTCACATTTTTAAAAGTAACAAATATAAACAGCTGCTACTAATGGCACTAAACAGTAAAAAAAAAAAAAATCAGAAACATTTAGCATTTTGGTGGTGAGTAAAACCAGTACCTTTTAAATTTTGTCTGTGATGTCTGAAAAGAACATGTGGAGGAGGAGATGAATCTAAGCTATGTCAGACTTGCTGGGAAATGGCACCTGTGAACAAGCCCATTGCCAATTCAACGATAATTTGTCAGGTTTGATTAAAACCTGAATTAAGCAGTCCTCATTAGAACCTCAGAAGGATGAATTATGCTGCATAAACAGATTACTCATGCCCTGATAGAAACACTGGCACCACACACCCCGCTAGTAACTTTCAATTACATTGATAAATGAGAAGTTAAACTGTAATTTTTTTAGCACTATCAGTTTTGTCTCTAATATCCTGCCATTTCTGTTTTTATTGTGATTGAAAATAGAGGCTGCAGTGAAATATAAACAGTCATCTGGATTAGTGTCACAAACCAGGCCAGGAGATGATGCGGGCTTGGAGTTACAGTGAGAAAAAGGATATCAAGAAGGGTAAAAAGTGTTCATTATATATTTCCAATATTGTTCCAGATACATATAGAAGTTGTATAGTAAGTGCATGTAGGACTTGTCTTCACCTATCTCATAAATACAGTAGCCAAATTATGGGATGAGCCACTAATTACAGTGTCTTAAAAGTGCTATTGGAAAATTTAATTTCATAAGTCAGGGACTAGACTTGTTAATCAGCCAGTGAGTCAACAGATTTCATTTGTCATAGTTAATATTTGTAACATTTCAAAAATAGAGAAGACAGTAGAAGCACTTAGCATGTTGGTCACCATTTCCTCCTCTCAAGTGTTTGTAAGCATTAATTAAATTCCCAGCTCATACTTTTGCTTCCTGCCACACAACCATTTTTCCTATTAATGCAGATTGTGAAAGATTTGGCTAGGCACTTAACGGGAAACAGGGAGTGCATCAAAAATATACAGTTATATTTTCCAGATGAAACTGGGCCTTTTGGCTCCAACTGAGAGGCCCATCTCAGCATGGTAATGCACCCGATGAAACAAAAAGCCAACTTCCCAAAGATTTGAAAAGCCCTATACCTATACAGAAGTCTTTTGGAGAAGTAAAAAAAAAAGGAGAATTACATCTAATAATGATTCACACAAAGAAACTTAATATCTCCTCTACCCATATCTGCGTCTCTGAATATTTACTCTGGGACGTAGCTGTTAAAACTTTTTTACCCACACCTCAAAATTCTTCCAAACTCTCTTAGCTTAACTTCTGCATCTTCTTTGTCTGGCTTCCCTCCTCTTGCCTTCAAGAGCTTTCCTTTGCTTCCACATGTAGGCTCATATTGAAATTAATGTGGGTTTGCTGGGCTTCCTCCAGTTCACTTCTCCACCCATTACTGTAATCAGGCAATAAAAAACCATGATCCAAATGGCATAAGGAATCCTCCTGATAGGAGGAGAGAAACGATCTGATTACTTACCTTCTAAATTTTTTAGGACAGTTTCATTATACCAAGGAACTGGGAAGTTCTTTCCGAAAAATGAATTGCTAGAAACTTCTCTGGTAGAGGTGTCTTGGATAGAGGTTAGTGTGAAAACAAGTAGCTCTTAGCTTTTTTTACCTCGTTCTATGGCAGGTTTATGCCAGTATAGGTTGGAGGTCTTCAGAATCTTCCCCTTTAATATAAAATAACTTGGAGTTTAGACAAAATAAATTTGAAGGGGAAATTTTAGCACAGAGGCTTGGAGAAGGAAGGATAAAACAGAAGAGAGATGAGAAGTTAGGAAGAGAGCATTAGAGACAGACTGCCTACCTCAAAGATAGCCTGAAGTTTGGAACAGGAAGAGACCATAAAGAAATAAAAGAAAGCTGCAATCATTAAGCCCCAAATCCTGGAATTTGAATCCCACTCTTCCATTTGTTTTAGAAATATCACCTTTCTGAGCCTCAGTTTAGTTTTCTGTAAAATGAAGGAATTTCACTAAAACATCTGAAAGACCCACATTCCACGATTTTATAAATCCTTATCAACTTCCTGCTTTATAACTACCTCTCCAACAACCCCATCATTGCTGTAATCTCCAGAACTCTAACGGTGCTCTTGTCTCCATATTATGAAGATATGTTGGGTTTTTGCTTACTGCTGAACTCCAATAATCTCTGAATGCATGTACATTATCTCCATTATTAAATTCATCATCTACAACAAAAAAGTATTTTAATTACCTGATTTATTATGATACTACACTAAATTTACAAAATAACCTCATAGTTGTTGACAAATTGAGATAAATGAAGCTGCTATGGCTAGAAATACACATTAAAAAAAGCATTAAATTAAAATGCAATTCAGCTGTAAGGTATAAATTATGTGAGTGTTTAGCTATGAGCTGTTTTAGCTGTTAAAATCTATATATTCAATGGGTAATCTCTTTCAAAATAGTTACCTAGAAAGAAATTTTTGCTCCTGTTGGAATTGTTCAGCAGTCACAAACTACATTGACCCTCCTTGACTTTATTTCTCAAAATGGAATTTATTGACTTTCTTATCTAACTTATTTACTGAACATGATTTCAAATGATCTTGATCTATTCCAAAGGTAGGGATAAAAACCATGTTTCATGTTCCAAAGGAAAGTCAAAGGAAGAATTCTAAAACATGTTGCTCTATTTAGTATCTATTTTTCCAACCTGAATACTTTGAAACAGTAACAGTCATTTGGAAGGAAAAATTTTGGATTAATAAAATTATCAGGTTATTTTTAGTCATATGATTAATACCTGTGGTGTGTTTCAGACATAAGAAACACCTTGGTAATAAGAAAATGCTTTATATGTAGTCCCAGTGTCACCAAGAAAAGATGCCATCATTTGCAGAGATAGAGTCCCACTCACTGCTAAGCTCATTGTTGGGCCCTGATATGGTTTGGATATTTGTTCCTTCCAAATCTCATGTTGAAATGTGATCCTCATGTTGGAGGTGGGTCCTAGTGGGAGGTGTTTGGATCATGGAGATGGATCTCTCGTGAAGGGCTTTGTGCCCTCCCTGCAGTAATGAATTAATGCAAGATATGGTTGTTACAAAGAGACTGGGACTTCCCTCTGTCTCTCTTGCTTCCTCTTTTGCCATGTGACATGTCTACCCTCCCTTTGCCTTCTGCCATGAATAACAGCTCCCTGAAGCCTCACCAAAAGCCAAGCAGATGCTGGTGCCATGCCCGTACAGCCTACAGAACCATGAGCCAAATAAACCTCTTTTCTTTATGAATTGCTCAGTTTCAGGTATTCCTTTAGGGCAATGCAAACAGACTAATACAGGCCCTTAGTCAACACTGTTACATGTTTGACTGAATAAGATGCAAATCTTCTTTACGTTTGACAGAAAATTGAGGATCAGTCATTAAGGTTAGCAGGAAGTTGAACCAGAGATAGGATGAAAGTTAAAAGCCCTAATTTTATTATAAGACTTTGACACCTAAAACCAGAAAAGTGTTTGCAATAAATTGAATTTGGCTTATTTTGATATCTTTTGAAGAAAATGGTAAAAAAATGAAATAGCAAGAAGAAAAAAATTGCTTTATGTATATTATTTTTGTTATACTAATCTTTTCATTTACTCCAGAATACTGAAGTAATACACAGATAAAAATTACATTGTAATATCTATCCATATGTACCCAAAATAAAATGATTCTGTGTCAGGGCCTGAGAAAATTTCCTAATTGTCAAGCAGTAAGAAGAGAGGAAATTTCTCTTTTAAACTTTTCTACACTTCTTTATGTGTTAAAGTAATCAAACAATTCTACAAGGTTTAAAAAATATTTTTAAAACATTTACCAGTCTCTGGTCCCCACCCCCACTCACACACCCATCCCACCTTCCTCCCTCCACCCGGAAATTTACAGGGCAGGTGCTTAAACCCAGAATTTCATTGATCTCATCTCTCCAGAAAATCTACCTGCCTTCACTGAGGGGAAGGGAGGAGTAGGTACCTTAGATTCAGGGCCGAAGGAGGAAATCTGGGAATCTGTTTCTTCAATAGCTTTTCTAATAATAATATTCCTGCTTTTCAGTCCTACTTGCATTCCCAGTTTCAAAGATGCTTCATGTCTCCATGTGGTCTAAGCTGCTTTGCCACTGGGCTTCACTCCTTACCCAGTTTAGATTTCAACTTCATTCAGTCTGTTGACGTTTAACTTTCATCTAGCTACTATGTTGTTATCTCTTATATTGTTTTTCTTGCCATTGTAGATGTGTGGCTTTAAAAAATCACTTTACTGTCCTTTTATTGGGGTTTTAAAAGGGATTGTGATGGTTAATAGTGTCAACTTGATTGGACTGAAGGATGCAAAGTATTGATCCTAAGTGTGTCTGTGAGGGTGTTGCCAAAGAAGATTAACATTTGAGTCAGTGGGCTGAAGAAAGCAGACCCATCCTTAATCTGGGTGGGCACCATCTAATCAACTGCCAGTGAATATAAAGCAAGCAGAAAAACGTGAAAAGGCTAGACTGGCTTAGACTCCCAGCCTACATCTTTCTCCCATGCTAGGAGACATTTCTCCAAATGTCCTACTGTGGGACCTTGTGATAGTGTGAGTTAATACTTCTTAATAAACTCCCCTTTATATAAATATAATACACACACACACACACACACACACTCACACACACACATATCCTATTAGTCTGTCCCCCTAGAGAACCCTGAAAAATAGAGGTTTTGGTACCAGGAGTGGTTCTAGAGAGAACAGAATATTAAGGATGGAGTTCTGTAGTTGATTTAGGGGTTTCTGGAGTTGGCTGCTTAATATGATCAGACACCAAAATGCTAAGGACTCTACTTCTAATAGTATAGAGAACACTGACAGTCCCTGGCATGAACTGTTTTAGAGAGTTATGCAAAATAAATGCATTTGACACTCCTGACTCACCTCTCATGAGAGGCAAGGAGTTTACTGACTCTATACATAATACCTTTGACCATATGTGGAGAACTAAGTAACAAAACAAAGCTGGTTGGCTGCTCCTAAGTTCACTGGACAAAGTGATGAAAGAAAATGATGAACTCAGGGATTCTAACTCCCAGGTTCAGAAGCAGAGACTGAGCCTCAAATCTTCTGAGACTGCCCTGAGTCAGAGTCTTATCTCCTGCAGAAAAAGGGCTGAAATTGTGGAAAATCAGACACAAGCTCTTATCATGTGAGTGGCTGACCTGCAACAAAAGGTGCATGCACAGCTTCACCAGGTGTCTACTGTTAAAGTGACAGCATTAACTGAAAAAGAATGGGACCCTGCAACTTGGAATAGGGATGTTTGGGAGGACCCTGATGGAGCTGGAGACACTGAGCTTGTAAACTCTGTTGAACCTTTCTTTCCAGAAGAAACAGCTTCCCTATTCCCAGTAATGGCAACATCCCCTCCGCAACCCATGCTGCCATTTAGCCTTCCACCTTTGTCTAAAGAGATAAACCCTGTGGTGCCTGAGGCAGCAGTGATTGCCTCGCCTGAGGCGGTTGCCTGGAAAGATAATGGTGATTCTCCTCAGCAAACGACACCTCTGTTTGCTTCTAGACCTATGACTGAAGTGCCAGCAGGCCCCTAGAGGTGAGGTTCAGAGTGTGATCCATGAGGAGGTGCACTACACTCAAAAAGAACTGCTTGAATTTTCTAATTCATATAAACAGAAATCTAGAGAACAGGCATGGGAATGGATATTAAGGGTGTGAGATAATGGTGGAAGGAAATAGAGTTGGATCAGGCCGAATTTATTGATTTGGCCCCATTAAGTATGGACTCTGCATTTAATGTTGCAGCTCGGGGAGTTAAAAAAGGTTCTAATAATTTATTTGCTTGGTTAGCTGAAAATGGATTAAAAGATGTCCCACTGTAAGCGAGATGGAAATGCCTGATCTCCCTTGGTTTAATGTGGAGGAAAGGATCAAAAGGCTTAGGGAGATTGGGATGGTGAAATGGATTAGTCACTTTAGACCTACTCATCCCAGCTGGAAGGGTCCAGAAGATATATCCTTGACCAATATCTTGAGAATAGATTTGTGAGGGCAGCCTCTGTATCTCTGAAGAGCCCTGTAACTGCTCTTCTCTGTATTTCAGATCTAACAGTGAGAACCACAGTCACTCAACTACAAAATTTAAACACAATGGGAATAATTGGATCCTAAGGTGGCAGAGGCCAAGTGGTAGCACTCACCCATGAAAGGCAAGGTGGGTGTAGCTACTGTAATGGACAGCAGAGGCAAAGTGGCAATCAGGATAGTCTGACTCATGTAGAGCTCTGGCATTGGCTAATTAATCATGGTCTTCCTAGAAATGAAATTGATAGGAAGCCTACTGCATTCCTACTTAATTTATATAAGCAGAAAACTCCTAGGTCCAATGGACAAGAGACTAATTTGAATTATAAAAACAGAGAACTATGGCCCCTCAATCAATTTCCAGACTTGAGCCAGTGTACAGACCCAGAATGCCTTGAGTGAAGGGGAGACTGGGTCCCCTTGAAGAAGGACCCCACTAAACTACTGACAATTTATCCTGTTAATCTTTTTCCCTTCCTTCCCCAAGGAAACCTCCAGCCTTTTTTACCAGGGTAACTGAACAATGGGGAAAGGAAAATGATCAGACATTTTGGGGACTACTGGATGCTGGCTCTGAGCTGATGTTGATTCCAGGGTACCTAAAATGTCATTGTGGCCCTCCAGTTAAAGTAGGTGCTTATGGAGGTTAGGTAATTAATAGAGTTTTAGCTCAGGTCCGACTTACAGTGGGTCCAGGGGGTCCCCAGACTCATTCTGTGGTCATTTCCCCAGTGCCAGAATGCATAATCAGCATAGACATACTTAGCAGCTGGCAGAACCCCAACATTAGCTCTCTGACTGGCAAGGTGAGGGCTATTATGGTGGGAAAGGCCAAATGGAAGCCATTAGAGCTGCCTCTACATAGAAAAATAGTGAATCAAAAACAATATTGCATGCCTCGAGGACTTAAAAGATGCAGGAGTGGTTATTCCCACCACATCCCCATTCAACTCTCCTATTTGGCCTGTGCAGAAGACAGATGGATCTTAAAGAATGACAGTGGATTAAGCTTAACCAAGTGGTGACTCCAATTGCAGCTTCTGTACAAGATGTGGTTTCATTGCTTGAGTAAATTAACACATCTCCTAGTACCTGTTATGCAGCCCTTGACTTGGCAAATGTCTTTTTCTCCATTCCTGTCCATAAGGCCCACCAGAAGCAATTTGCCTTCAGCTGGCAAGACCAGCAATATACCTTTACTCTCCTACCCCAGGGGTATATCAACTCTCAGGCTTTGTGTCATAATCTTATTTGGAAAGACCTTGATCACTTTTCCCTTCCACAAGATATCACACTGGTCCATTACATTGATGACATTATGCTGATTGGATCCAGTGAGGAAGAAGTAGAAGACACACTGAACTTATTTATGAGGCATTTGCATGCCAGAGGATGGGAAATAAATCCAACTAAAATTCAGGGACCTTCTACCTCAGTAAAATTTCTAGGGGTCAAATCGTGTGGGGCTTGTCGAGATATTCCTTCTGCAGTGAAGAATAAGTTGCTGCATTTGGCCCCTCCTGCAACCAAAAAAAAGGCACAATGCCTGGTGGACCTATCTGGATTTTGGAGGCAACACATTTCTCATTTGGTTGTGTTACTCTGACCCATTTATCTAGTAACCCGAAAGGCTACCAGCTTTGAGTGGAGTCCAAAACAGAAGAAGGCTCTGCAACAGGTCCAGGCTGCTGTGCAAGCCGCTCTGCCACTTGGGCCGTATGACCCAGCAGATCCAATGATGCTTGAGGTGTCAGTGGCAGATAGGGATGCCATTTGGAGTTTTTGGTAGGCCCCCATTGATTAGTCACAGTGGAGGGCTCTAGAATTATGGAGCAAGCCCCTGCCATCTTCTGCAGATAACTACTCTCCTTTTGAGAGACAGCTTTTGGACTGTTACTGGGGTTTGGTAGAAAATGAACATTTGACTATGGGTTATCAAGTCACCACGCGACCTGAACTACCTATAATGAACTGCATGCTTTCGGACCCATCTAGCCATAAAGTGGGTCATGCACAGCAGCATTCCATCACCAAATGAAAGTGGTATATATGTGATTGGGCTCAAGCAGGTCCTGAAGGCACAAGTAAGTTACACGAGGAAGTGGCTCAAATGCCCATGGTCTCCACTCTTGCCACCCTGCCTTCTCTCCCCCAACCTGCACTGATGGCCTCATGGGGAGTTCCCTATGATCAGCTGACAGAGGAAGAGAAGACTAGGACCTGGTTCACAGATGGTTCTGCACAATATGCAGACACCACCCGAAAGTGGACAGCTGCAGCACTACAGCCCCTTTCTAGAACATCCCTGAAGGACAGAGGTGAAGGGAAATCTTCCCAGTGGGCAGAACTTTGAGGAGTGCACCTAGTGGTGCACTTTGCATGGAAGAAGAAATGGCCAGATATGCAATTATATACTGTTTCATGGGCTGTAGCCAATGATTTGGCTGGACGATCAGAGACTTGGAAGAAGCATAATTGGAAAATTGGTGACAAAGAAATTTGAGGAAGAAGTATGTGGATGGACCTCTCTGAGTGGTCAAAAACTGTGAAGATACTTGTATCCAATGTGAGTGATCACTGAGTAACCTCAGCAAAGGAGAATTTTGATAATCAAGGGGATAGAATGACCCATTCCATGCACACCACTCAGCCTCTTTCCCCAGACACCCCTGTCATTGCCCAATGGGCCCATGAACAAAGTGGCCATGGTGGCAGGGATGGAGGTTATGCATGGCTCAGCAACATGGACTTCCCCTCACCAAGGCTGACCTGGCTACAGCCACTGCTAAGTGCCCAATTTGCCAGCAGCAGAGACCAACAATGAGCCCTCAATATGGCACCATTCCTTGGGGTGATCAGGCAGCTACCTGGTGGCAGGTTGATTATATTAGATCTCTTTCATCACGGAAAGGGCAGAGGTGTGTCCTCACTGGAATAGACACTTACTCCGGATATGGGTTTGTCTATTCCACACACAATGCTTCTGCCAAGACTACCATCTGTGGACTCATGGAATGCCTTATCCACTGTCATGGTATTCCACACAGCATTGCCTCTGACCAAAGTGCTCACTTTATGCTAAAGACGTAGCAGTGGGCTCATGCTCATGGAATTCATTGGTCTTACCATGTTCCCCATCATCCTGAAGAAGCTGGATTGATAGAACAGTGGACTGGCCTTCTGAAGTCACAATTATAATGCCAACTAGGTGACAATACTTTGCATGGCTGGAGCCAACTTCTCCCAAAGACTGTGTATGGTCTGAAGCAGCATCCAATATACGTTACTGTTTCTCCCATAGCCAGGATTTATGGGTCAAGGAATCAAATGGTAGAAGTGGAAGTGGCACCACTCACCATCACCCCTAGTGATCCACTAGCAAAATTTTTGCTTCCTGTTCCTATAAAATTAAATTCTGCTGGCCTAGAGGTCTTAGTTCCAGAGGGAGGAATGCTGCCACCAAGAGATACAACAACAATTCCATTAAACTGGAAGTTAAGATTGCCACCTGGACACTTTGGGCTCCTCCTACCTTTAAGTCAACAGGCTAAGAAAGGAGTTACAGTGTTGGCTGGGGTCATTGACCCGAATCATCAAGATGAAATCAGTCTACCACTGCACAATGGAGGGAAGGAAGAGTGTGCATGGAATACAGAAGATCCATTAGGGCGTCTCTTAGTATTACCATGCCCTGTGATTAACATAATGGGAAACTATAACAGCTCAATCCAGACAGGTCTACAAATGGCCCAGACCCTTCAGAAATGAACGTTTGGGTCACTCCACCAGGAAAAAACCACAACCTGCTGAGGTGCTTGCTGAAGGCAAATGGAATACAGAATGGGTAGTAGAAAAACGTAGTCATCAATACCAGCTTGTGACCAGTTGCAGAAACGAGGACTATAATTGTCATGAGTATTTCCTCCTTCTTGTGTTAAAAACATGTTTGTGCATGTATATACACTTGTACTAAGAAAATATCTTCATTATATTTCCTTTTTCCTTTATTATGTGACATAAGATTTATTGATTTATTGACATAAGATTTATTATGCTATAACATATAACATTATGTTATAGCATTTGGGTTGGCGATTGGTGCATTACTAGTTGTAAGAAGGATAGTTGTATTATGTTATGTGTAATTATGACCTTATTATTGTCTTTATTTGAAGATTATGTATGATCTCAGGAGATGTCCATGGGTTCAAGTTGACAAGGGATGGATTTGTGATGCTTAATACTGAGTGTCAGCTTGATTGGATTGAAGGATGCAAAGTATTGATCCTCGGTGTGTCTGTGAGGGTGTTGCCAAAGGAGATTAACATTTGAGTCAGTGGGCTGGGGAAGGCAGACCCACCCTTAATCTGAGTGGGCACCATCTAATCAGCTGCCAGCAAATACAAAGCAGGCAGAAAAACCTGAAAAGGCTAGACCGGCTTAGCCTCCCAGCCTACATCTTTCTCTCGTGCTGGATGCTTCCTGCCCTCGAACATCGGACTCCAAGTTCTTCAGCTTTGGGACTTGGACTGATTTCCTTGCTCCTCAGTTTCCAGTCTACTGAGGGACTTTGTGATCATGTGAGTTAATACTACTTAATACACTTAATAAACTCTAGTTCTGTCCCCCTAGATAAGCCTGACTAATACAGGGAGCATGGGTTAAAATGTGTGTGTGTGGAATGTTTTATGCTTTAGCCAAAAACCTCAACTTTTATTTTTTCTCTATATACTTATTCATTATAAATTTACCGGTATACTTTCTATAATTAAAAATAAATTTAAAATCAGCCTATGGGATCTGTCATAGCTCTTCTTCTATGAAGAGACTATCTAGAAGTTTTTCACCATTTCCTGTTTCGTGGCTAATTCTAGGTGGTTAAACTTGTTTGAAAATGTATCTCTGACATGTTGCATTCTCTATATAATTGAAGTACATTCAAAATAATATTCAGCAAAAAGATCAGTCAAGTCAGCCATATAACAGTTATGAAAACCAAGTGCTGATTTTTCTACAAAAGGATTCAGGATATAGTTTATGAAGGTAAACTTCCCAAAACCTGTAACAACTGTTTGTTCTGTATGTTATTCAGGCTGCCACATGTAAAAGCACTTGAAACATAATTCATACTAGATCCTTCTGCTTATAGTACCCTAACTCTCTCCTCCTATAAAATGATGAACTGTATTTATTCTTAAAGCACAGTTCAAATATAACTTTTCATCTTCTTGAGCTTCCTCTTTTCCCTTTTATTTCTTATAGCATATAGCACAAGGTACTGAATTGATTTAGTCTATACCTACACCAGATTTTGAGCTACTCAAAGACAGAATCTGTGTTCTATTTTCTTTTGGTGTCAACAGTAGCTAGTACAGTAACTAGAACTCAAAAGAGTATCAGTAAATAATTTTGAACTTAATTACAATAATGTAAATACCCCTTCTACTTGAGAAAGCCCAAGAGTAAATAAGGAGAAATGGGGGTGAACATTCAATTCAAAATCTACAATGAAAAGACTATGTATTAATCCAGTTTCTCCTCACTAAAACTACTTGGGGAAGGCATCATCCATATTTGACAGATGAAAGAATTGAGACTCAAATAACTTGGTCAAGATCAAACCTAATAGATGTTAGAACAAAAGCATTTGAACCCTCATCTTGTTCTAATGCTAGAGTTTTAGTTTTTCTTTTTCTTTTTAATGTCCCTTTGTAAAAGATCAAAGAATATAACATATAAAAAGAAAGTTTTTAATCTACATTTTGCTAGATCTCAGTTTATAATTGACTATAGTCTTCAAATGTAAGTTAAGAACAGAAATATATCCAAATGTTTGCTTTTTGATTTATTTTTACAGTGTTTATTTCTGAGCCATTACATCTGCCATGGTTAGTTAAGCCCGCTGTGAACTTGTGTAATCTGAGATTGCTATTACTTTAAATGATAGTTCTTAGTGCATGTAGATGATACTCCCAACTGTTCTGCCTACAGGGGATGAAAAAGGGTAAGACCAGTTCCTTGACCTGGATCCTCAACCACATGTTGTGCTTCTGCAATTTACATACATTGGGAACTGTGCCTACTGGGACTTTGATTTTTTTGTTTTGTTTTTAGAAAAAGAAAGTAAAATGTATTGTGGTACACATCCATAACACAATAAACCTTGTTGGATGTACAATTAGTGTTATTTATCTTGTTTGGCTCCTTTGAGTACCTGATATATTGGCTGCAATACTCACACTGGAGTCTTCATATACGTATCCACGCAGATTACTATATAAATATAGATGTGCTATGCAAAAAGAACGTAAATTTTTTAATGTCAACTCCAAATCCCTCTTCTCCAGGAAATTAGTAACTATTAATCAGTGTGGCCAATAAAAATCGTTTCCATTCTAGCCAGTCTAATTTTTCTTTTTCTAGATCTTGCTGATGCAATTCTATGTAATCACGGACTCTTAAGCCATACATTCCATATTCTCTAAACCATGGTGTACTCTGCTATCATAGAAGAATATAAATTCTTGACTTCCACCATTTCCATGCCTGTTTTGTTTTGTTTTGTCTTTTAGCTTGTTGAAAAATTCAGTTAAACAGGCACTGGGCTTTCAGTTTATCTGTGATATGCTCTGTTACCCAAGATATTACTTGAGTGTAGTTTTATTTATTTATTTTCAATAGGTTTTTGAGAAACAGATGGCATTTTATTACACGAATAAGTTCTTTATTGGTGATTTCTGAGATTTTGGCATACCTATCTCCTGAGCAGTGTGTAGTCTGAACCCAATGTGTAGTCTTTTATCCCTCAACCCCCTCCCACCTTTCCCCCCAAGTCCCCAAAGTCCGTCACATATCATTCTTATGCCTTTATGTCCTCACAGCTTTGCTGCCACTTACGAGTGAGAACATTCATTGTTTGGTTTTCCATTCTTGAGTTACTTCACTTAGAATAATGGTCTTCAATTCCATCCAGGTTGCTGTGAATACCATTATTTTACTGTTTTTTATGGCTGAGTAGTATGCCATGGTATATGTATACCACAGTTTCTTTATCCACTCATTGATTGATGGGCATTTGGGCTGGTTCCATATTTTTGCAATTACGAATTGTGTTGCTATAAACATGCGTATGCAAGTATCTTTTTTGTATAATGACTCCTTTGCCTCTGGGTAGATACCCAGTAGTGGAATTGCTGAATCAAATGGTACATCCACTTTTAGTTCCTTAAAGAATCTCCACATTGTTTTCCATAGTGGTTGTACTAGTTTATATACCCACCAACAGTGTAAAAGTGTTCCCTTTTCACCACATGCACATCAAAATCTATTGTTTTTTAATTTTTTGATTATGTCCATTCTTGCAGGAGTAAGACTTTTTCACACTGTGATTTTTATTTGTATTTCTCTGATAATTAAGGATGTTGAGTATTTTTTCATATGTTCATCAGCCATTTGTACATCTTTTGCAAATTGTCTAGTCATGTCCTTAGCTCACTTTTTGATCCGATTTTTTGGGTTTTTTTGGTTTTGCTGATTTGCTTGAGTTCATTGTAGATTCTAGATATTAGCCCTTTGTCAGATGTAAAGATTGTGAAGAGTTTCTCCCACTCTATGGGTTGCCTGTTAACTCTGCTGATTATTTCTTTTGCCGTGCAGAAGCTTTTTAGTTTAATTAAGTCCCATGTATTTATCTTTGGTTTTGTTGGATTTGTTTTTGAGTTCTTGGTCATGAAGTCTTTGCCTAAGCCAATGTTTAGAAGTTTTCCAATGGTATCTTCCAGAATTATTATGGTTTCAAGTCTTGAATTTAAGTCTTTAATCCATCTTGAGTTGATTTTTGCATAACGTGAGAGATGAGGATCCAGGTTTATTCTTCCACATGTGGCTTGCCAGTTATCCCAGCACCATTTGTTGAACAGGGTGTCCTTTCCCCATTTTATGTTTTTGTTTGCTTTCTCGAAGATAAGTTGGCTGTAAGTATTTGGGTTGATTTCTGGGTTCTCTATTCTGTTCCATTGGTCTATGTGCCTATTTTTATACCAGTTCCATGCTGTTTTGGTGACTAGTATAGTTTGAAGTTGGATAATGTAATGCCTCCAGATTTGTTCTTTTTGCTTCATCTTCCTTTGGGCCCTTCTTGGTTCCATATGAATTTTAGGATTTTTTTTCTAGTTCTGTGAAGAATGATCGTGGTATTTCGATGGGAATTGAATTGAATTTGTAAGTTGATTTTGGCAGTATGGTCATTTTCACACTATTGATTCTATCTATCCATGAGCATGGAATATGTTTCCATTTGTTTGTGTCATCTATAATTTTTTTCAGCAGTGTCTTGTAGTTTAATTTGTAGAGAGTCTTTCACCTCCTTGGTTAAGTATATTCCTAAGTATTTTGTTTTTTTCGACTATTGTAAAAAAGATTGAGTTCTTGATTTGACTCTCAGCTTGGTTGCCATTGGTGTATAACAAAGTTACTGATTTGTGTACATTAATTTTGTATCCTGAAATGTTGCTGAATTCATTTACCAGTTCTAGGAGCTTTTTGGGTGAGCCTTTAGGGTTTTCTAGGTATATGATCATGTCATCAGTGAACAGCTACAGTTTGACTTCTTTTCCAGTTCGGATGCCCTTTCTTTCTTTCTCTTGTCTGATTGTTCTAGCTAGGACATCCAGTACTATTTTGAATAGAAATGGTGAAAGTGAGCATTGTTGTCTTGTTCCAGTTCTCAGGGGGAATGCTTTCAACTTTTCCTCATTCAGTATTATGTTGGCTGTGGGTTTGTCATAGATGGCATTTATTACATTAAGGTACATCCTGTCTATGCTGATTTTGCTGAGAGTTGTTATAAAGAGATGCTGGATTTTGTCAAATGTTTTTTCTTCATATATTGAGATGATCATGTGTTTTTTTTTATTCTTTATGTGGTATTTCACATTTATTGACTTGTGTTGTTAAACCATCCCTGCATCACTGGTATGAAACCCACTTCATCATGGCGGATTATCTTCTTGATATGCTGTTGGATTCGATTAGCTAGTATTTTGTTGAGGATTTTTGCATCTATGTTTATCCTCTTGCCTTCCACATAGATTGACCCTTGCCAGATGTCAGCATCTGGCAGTTCTGGAAGGTAGTTTCTTTTTTTGTTGTTATGTCCTTTCCCAGTTTTGGTAATATGGTGATACTGGCTTCATAGGATGATTTAGGGAGGATTCCTTCTTTCTCTATCTTTGAAATAGTGTCAATAGGCTCCATACCTGTTGAAGGCTTCTTACTTCAAGCATCTGTAGATCTTTACAGAAGGCTTTACATACTTGCCAGTGAATGTTCAGCCAATGCATAGGTGAGTCCACAGATGGCAGAAAGTTGAAGTGCCTATAACAACACCCAACCACTGCAAAGGGGAGCTCATGAATAAGTATCACAGCTTCTTCACTCATCAGAGAGACAGTTGTGAGATTTGTCCCGCACTGACTCTTAGAAATCTCCAGCAGGCCTAAGCTCCACTTTCTCATGGTGGTAATCTTCTCATTAGAATATTGGCTTCTGTCTACATCCATTTTCTGCTGCTATAACAGAATACCATATACTGAGTAATTTATTTTTTAAAAAAGAAATGTATTTCACACAGTTCTGGAGGCTAGGAAGTTCAAGAGCATGATGCTGACGTCTGGCAAGGGTCAATCTATGTGGAAGGCAAGAGGCAGAAGTGAGCACCAGAGACAGAGAACAAATGGGGAGGAGTGAACTGATCCTTTTACCAAGATAACTAACCCACTCCTATGATAACAGCATTAATCCATTTATGAGAGCAGAGCCCTCATGACCCAATACCACCTCTTTAAGACTCCACCTCTTAATACTGTTACAAATGGCAAATTTCTTTTTTTATTTATTTATTTTTATTTATTTTTTTTTTTTAGAGACAGGGTCTTTCTCTCTTACCCAGGCTGGAGTACAGTGGCACAATCAGAGCTCATTGCAGTCTTAAACTCCTGGGCTCAAGGGATCCTCCTGCCTCAACTTCCTGAGTAGCTGAGGCTATAGGTGTGAGCCACCACATCTCACTATTTTCTTTTAAATGTTTTGTAGAGATGGTAGTCTCACTATGTTGCCCAGGCTGATCTTTAACTCCTGGCCTCAAATGATCCTCCTGCCTCAGCCTCCCAAAGTGGTGGGATTACAGGTGTGAGCCACTTCACCCAGCCTAAATTTCAATGTGAGTTTTGGCAGGGACATTCAAACTATAGCTGCTTTTCCCCCCTAGTGTCTCACTTCCCTACTGGTGCTACCTGTGATCTCCTCCCACCTAACTTCCAGTCCCAACTCCTGTGATGGATAAGAGTCACTTTAGAAACAGTGTTCATCAGGTGACACTATGAAGATTTGTTCCTTCCCATAAACAAAGAACAACACCAGGTCCTAACTCTCTCATTCCACTAGAATTGGATTTTGCTTATGTCTTAAGTGCTTCAGTTCTTCTCTGTAGCTTGAGTGTCCTGTGACAGGGCCTGTGCACTCTGCTTATGGTAGCAAAATTAGGGGCATTTAAAACTTCTTGGGACAAGAAGAGTCACTGTCCTGTCTGAGTCCGAGATGAACATGGATTCCCTCCCACCCTGACCACAAAGCAGTGCGTTTGCAGTTCCAATTATTCCTTCCTTTCCAAGACGCCTTCCACCTCTGTGGTTACTATTTCACCATTCATATTCCTTTCTGCATATGCTCCCAAGTAAGTATTAACCACCCTTTTCATCTGGTAAGTTACACACACACATACATACACACACACACACACACACACACACAGAGAGAGAGACAGAGACAGAGAGAGAGAAAGAGCACGTGCAAGACAGGGAGAGCTTTATTTAATAAGTGCATTCATTTCTTATTGCTACTGTAACAAATTATCACAAATTACTGTCTAAATAACACAAAAACTTATCTTACAGTTCTGGAGGTATATATATGTAAGTATATATACACACTTATATATAGGTAGCATTCTTAGCATATATTCTTAGCATTCTTAGACCTAAATTATGTGCTGTGTATAAGGACAATCTTATTACCCTACTCATCCTAGAAATAAAATCTATCTAAAACATAGAATACTATGCTTGTGAGTTCACATCCTCAATAGTTGCCATCATTGAGAACTTGTGGTGTGTCAGATACTCAATGTACTAAGCTATATTAGTCTTAGCATGGCCTTCAGAATCAGACTGGTCTGAACTTAAATTTTTGCTTTGCCACCTGGTAAGTGAATAAGACTCTAGAAAACCTATTTAACCTCTCTGAATGTCATTCTCTCAAGCGTCGAAGGGACAATCATACCTCCTTCATAGGTGTGATGAGTTGATCATTTCATTATTTTAAAGGCTGACACTAGAGTTCCTCAATAAATTTCTTTGTCATTGTTTAAAAAATTAAATAAGACTTTTAAATTACATATAGGATTACCATACATTTATATTTTTAACCCTTCCAAAATTATACCCAAATGACAATTGAGAAACGAAAATGTTATCAACCCATAACATAGAGAATGAGAGAAGAGGCAATAGTGAGCGGAATTATTTCGACAAATATTTGAGAGCAGAAAAAAATAGATGGAAGAGTGATAACTGACATATCAGAATACAGAAAGTTAAAGCCTGCATTAATTGCAGAGGATACCAAAACTAAGCTAGTTAATTTATCCAACAAAATCCCTAGAAGCTCAGCTTTTGAAGTCAACCAACAAAACTAGTGAGACGGTACAAATTTCAGTGGTTGTCAGGGGTTAGGGCATAGGAAAGGATGAATAGGTAAAGCACAGGGAATATTTATGGGAATGAAAATACTTTTTATAATACTATAATAATAAATTGATATCATTATACATTTGTCCAAACCCACAGCTTGTACAATACCAAGAGTGAACCCCAATGTAAACTATGAACTTTGGATGATAATGCTCTATCAATGTAGGTTTGTCAATTGCAACAAATGTACTACTTTGTTGGAGAATGTTGCTAGTGGCTGTGCATGTGTGGGAGCAGAGGGGCATATGGGAAATTTCTTTACCTTCTGCTCAATTTTGCCATGAACCTAAAGCCCTAAAAAAAAAAGCTATTTTTAAAACTGGAAACTGTTCTAGAACAAAAAAAGATCTTCTGAAAATGAAAGATATTATGGATAGAATTTTTTTTTTTTTTTGAGGGGATATCTTGCTGGCTGGAGTGCGATGGCATGATCTCGGCTCACTGCAACCTCCGCCTCCCGGGTTCAAGCGATTCTCCTGCCTCAGCCTCCTGAGTAGCTGGGATTACAGGCATTTGCCACCATGCCCGGCTAATTTTTATATTTTTAGTAGAGATGGGTTTTCACCATGTTGGCCAGGCTGGTCTTGAACTCCTGACCTCTGGTGATCTGCCCGCCTCAGCTTCCCAAAGTGCTGGGATTACAGGCGTGAGCCACCATGCCCAGCCACAATTTTTAAAAATCAAAAGCAGGGATGGCAGTTCAAGTTGAGAAATCCAGGAAAGTAAACTAAAATGTAAAACAAGATAGAAAATAACAAAGACACAATAACAAAATTAGAGAATTGCACCCAGCTTTCCAACATCTAATAGGAGTTCCAGAAAACCTGAATATTGATATTATTTTAAAATAGATTAGGTTTCCCTGAAGTGAAGGAAATAATTTTCCAGAAGGAAAGTGCTCCAGAATGCCTAGCACAATAAATGAAAGAAAACCACAATTGGAAACATCATAAGAAATGTTATCAAGTTAAGAGAAGAATTTGAAAGCTTACAAGATATATACACAGAGAGAGAGAGAGACAGACAGACAGACATAAACAGACCCTTAGAAAACAATGGGCATCCACAAAAAAAGAATGAGTTCATGTCCTTTGCAGGAACATGGATGAAGCTGGGAGTCATCATTCTCAGCATACTAACACAGGAACAGAAAACCAAACACCGCCTGTTCTTACTC